>NC_000002.12:19176422-19327937 GCF_000001405.40 Homo sapiens
AATAACTATGAACAAGACTGACATGGGCCCTGCCTTTCCAAACCTCAAGCTGCAGTGAGGGAGACATAAAAAAATTGCACAGCCCATGATCTAGCAGCTAAGAACCAAAGAGGGACAGAGACACTGTTGCAGTAGTTCAAGGAGGCAGAAACCCATGTCCTGATGGAGTGGTCAGGGAAGGTGCCAGGAAGCAGTAAAACTTGACTGGAACTCAAATAGGTAGAAGGAATTCAGATACTTCAGGCCTTCTAAGATGCCAGCTAGTTCCTGGTGGGGGTGGGAACAGAAAAACTTGAGAGATATTTCCTAGCTGAAGAAACGAGACTGGCTGAAGTAGAAGTTTCCGTTGTGCATTTTTCCTTAAATTAGGTAATACCTACACTTGGGAGTGCTTGGCTAGGTGCAAGGGATATAAGAATTCATGATCATCATCCTGAAGCAACAATTTCCCTAAATGGTAATTTAATACGTTTGTGTGTGTGTGTATGTGTGTGTGTGTAATGGAACATAAAATTTGCATGAATGTTTAAGATGTAACAGAAGACTTCACAGACAAGTTTTTTTGTTTTTTTTTTCTGTATCAGGTCACTTTGGCCTCTACAGCCATGCCATTCCATGACTGCTAACACGCCAAAGTTTCTTTTCTACATGTTGAAGAATTTGCTGATGGGAAGGACGAAACCCTGTTCTTCTGAGAAATGAGATATATATCAGGAAAATTGGCTTGAGTCATTATATGAAAGGCTAAATACCAGACTAAGGATATCAGGTTTCATTGATGATGTTAGAGAACTGAATACTTTCGATCTGAGCCAGGACTCATGAAAGCAGGCAATGACTACATTTCTGAGTCTCATTGGTTGTAAATATGGGGACATGGATACTACATGGGTCTTTATCTGAGGGCCAGGTGTGAAAAAGGAAACGTAAGAAAGGACAAATGAAATAGATACAGGCAAGATATATGCACAGTACGGTGTTCCTGGAACAGGTAAGAGGTACAGGTATATGTGATCTGGGTACTGCACACCTAAGGTGCTTGGAAAAAACCATCAGAGTCCTAGGACCACTAAGAACATATATGGTTCAAGCCTGATTTCTTCCTAGCGGGTGGGAGACTAGGAAGTTTTCTCCATGTTGGTATCAGTCTTGGTTCAACATGGAAATTATCATTTGTGGTTTTTCTCACTGCCAGGTCTCAAGGTGAGATGAGGTGAGAGAAGCAGCCACCTGGGTCACTTTAAATTGCTAATTTTTGCATGGAGGCAGAAGAAAGGAGGAACTGTGAGGGATTATCTCTGCATTTGAGAAAGAAATTCTGGCCTTTTCTTCTAGATATTCTGGGGAATTGCGATTGGACTACTACTTGGAAGGATTTCTCCAGGATATACCGCCTAAGTGGGTAGGAAAATGACTCACAGGGAGTCCCAAGTTATCTTAGGGTCTCTTTGCCTAACAGGTCTGCCTCTCTCCATCCCACTCCCATCCTAGAGTGGGGCATGGCCCTGTGTAGGCAGACAACATTTTCCAGGCCAATTGTAGATGTTTCTGAACACAAAGCATCTGGTGAAGAGAGGCCACTGCTATGCAATAGACATATAAGGTCAGCCACAACTGCAAGCCACGTATGTAATTTTGAATTTTCTAGCGGTCACATCAAAACTGCAAAATGAAACAGATGACATTTATTTAATAATATGTATTTTTTAACGTAATATATCCAAACTACTATAATTTAAATGTTATCCATATAAAAATTATGAATAAGACATTTTCAGTCCATTTTGCACTGTTTCTTTGCAGTCTTTTTGCACTGTTTCACACAAACAGCACATCTCAATTCAGACTAGCCACACTTCCAGTGTGCAATAGCCATGTGAAGTTAATAGCTAGTGTACCGGACAGGCAGCTCTGATGGTTGGATCTTGAGCCTGTACATGAGAGTGATGCCTCCAGGGCATTCCTGAGATAATCAAGGTCCAGAAATACCAAGTCGCTTGCCAGAGCTCACACAATGTGTCAGAATCTGAGCCAAGACTAGATCAGAAGTCTGCAAATACTAATGTACCCTGGCTTCTCTCTTCTTCACAGTCACAGCTAAGGTGTCACTAGGCTCTCCTAATTCTTTGGAGCCTTCTCACATTATTTCTGTCCCTTCTAGCTGCTACCATCCTACTCAGGCCCCAAGTGCCTACTCACTATGGCAATATCCTCCTACTTGATGTGCTTGCTTTTAGTTTCCCCTTCCAGACCCTCCTGCAGAGTCTGAATTTCGCACAGTTCTGATTAAAATCACTCTGCAGTGAGTCCCTATTTAAAACATATATAGACAGAGACTTGATTTTAGAGCAATCTTAAGTATACAGAAAAACTGAATAGAAAGTGAAGAGTTCCCATATACCCTCTCCACCTCATCTCAGCCTCACTGCCCCACCTTGTTAACCCTGTAGTTGCATCTTGCATTGGTGAGGCACATTTGTTATAACTGAAAACCAATATCAATACATTATTATTAACTAAAGTCCATAGCTTACATTAGGACTCACACTTGGTGTTGTACAATTCTGTGAGTTTTGGCAAATGTATAATGTCGTGTATCCACCATTACAGTATCACACAAAAGTGTTTCACTTACCTAAAAATGCCTTGCTCCACCTGCTCATTCTATTCCTACACCCAGCTAAAACCCTTGGCAACCACAAATGTTTTTGCTGTCTTTATAGTTTTGCCTTTTCCAGAATGTCATATAGTTGCAAACATACACATGTTGAATTTTCATTTGACTTATTTCACTTAGGAAAATGCATTTAAGTTTCCTTCTTGTCTTTTCATGGCTTAATAGCTCATGTCTTATATAGAATAATATTCTGTTGTCTGGATGTTCCAGTTTGTTTATCCATTTTGTAGATTACATTAAATTTTCTTTTTTTGTAACAGGAGAAAAGGGTGCTTATTTTTTTCTTTCTTTTAATTTAAAATTTTTTTTATTTCAATAGGTTTTTGGGGTAACCGGAGGTGTTTGGTTACATGAATAAGTTATTCAGTAGTGATTTCTGAGGATTAGGTGCACTCATCACCTGAGCAGTGTACACTGTACCCGATGTGTAGTCTTTTATCCCTCACCACTCCCCACCCTTTCTCTGGAGTCCCCAATGTCCAATGTATCATTCTTATGCTTTTACATACTCATAGCTTAGCTCCCAAATATGGGTGAGAACATATGATGTTTGTTTTATTTATTCCCGAGTTACTTCACTTAGAATAGTAGTCTCCAATTCCATCCAGGTTGCTGCAAATGCCATTATTTCATTCCTTTTAATGGTTCCATAGTATTCCATGGTTTCTTTACCCACTCATTGATTGATGGCAATTTTCTTTATCCACTCATTGATTTATGGGAATTTTCTTTATCCACTCATTGATTGATGGCAATTTTCTTTATCCACTCGTTGATTGATGGGAATTTGGGCTGGTTCCCTATTTTGGAAACTGCAAATTGTGCTGCTATAAACATGCATGTGCAGTTATCCTTTTCGTATAACTTCTTTTCCTCTGGGTAGATACCCAGGAGTGGGATTGCTGGATCAAATGGTAGATCTATTTTTAGTTCTTTAAGAAATTTCCACTCTGTTTTCCATAGTGGTTGTACTAGTTCAAATTCCCACCAACAGTGTAAACATGTTCCCTTTTTACCACATCTATCTATCTTTTTTTTTTTTTTTTTTTGGCCATTCTTGCTGGAGTGAGGTTGTATTGCATTGTAGTTTTGATTTACATTTCCATGATAGTTAGTGATATTGAGCATGTTTCCATATGCTTTTTGGCCATTTGCATATCTTCTTTTGAGAATTACATATTCATGTCATTAGCCCATTTTTTGATGGGTTTATTTTTTCTTTTTTTTTTTTCTTACTGATTTGTTTGAGTTCCTTGTAGATTCTGGATATTAACCCCTCGTTAGATTGTGAAGATTTTCTCCCACTCTGTGAGTTGTCTGTTAACTCTTGTGATTATTTCTTTGGCTGTGCAGAAGCTTTTCAGTTTAATTTAGTCCCATCTATTTATCTTTGTTTTTGTTGTATTTGCTTTTGGGTTTTTGGTTCTTTGTTGCATTTACATTTGCTTTGGTTTTTTGGTTCTTGGAAGTCTTTGCCTAAGCCAGCAACTAGAAGGATTTTTCCAGGGTTATCTTCTAGAATCCTTATGGTTTCAGGTCTTAGATTTAAGTTTTTGATTCATTTTGGGTTGATTTTTGTACAAGGTGAGATATGAGGATCCAGTTTCATTCTTCTACATGTCCTTTCCCCATTTTATGTTTGTGTTTGCTTTGTCAAAGATCAGTTGGCTCTAAGTACTTGGCTTTATTTCTGGGTACTCTATTCTGTTCCATTGGTCTATGTCTCTATTTTTATACCAGTACCATGCTGTTTTGATGACTATGGCCTTACAGTATAGTTTGAAGTCTGGTAGAGTGATGCCTCCAGATTTGTTCTTTTTGCTTAGTCTTGCTTTGGCTATGTGGGCTACTTTTTGGTTCCATATGAATTTTAGGATTGCTTTTTCTTAGTTCTGTGAAGAATGATGGTGGTATTTTGATGGAAATTGCATTGAATTTGTAGATTGCTTTTGGCAATATGGTCATTTTCAAAATATTGATTCTACCCATCCAGGACCATGGGATGTGTTTCCATTTGTTTGTGTCATCTAGGATTTCTTTCAGCAGTGTTTTGTACTTTTTCTTGTAGATCTCTTTCAACTCCTTGGTTAGGTATATTCCTAAGTATTTTATTTTATTTTTGCAGTTATTGTGAAAGGGGTTGGGTGTTCTTGATTTGATTCTCAGCTTGGTCATTGTCGGTGTATAGCAGAGCTACTGATTTGTGTACATTAATTTTGTATCCTGAAATTTTGCTGAATTTATTCATCAGTTCTAGGAGGTTTTAAGATGAGTCTTTAGAGTTTTCTAGGTATGCGATCATATTATCAGCAAAGAGGACAGTTTGACTTCCTCTTTACCGATTTGGATGCTCTTTATTTTTTTCTGTCTGTTTGCTCTGGCTAGGACTTCCAGTACCATGTTGAATAGAAGTAGTGAAAGTGGACATCCTTGTCTTGTTCCAGTTATCAGTGGGAATGCTTTCACCTTTTCTCCATCCAGTATAATATTGGCTGTGGGTTTGTCAGAGATAGCTTTTATTACCTTAATGTACGTCCCTTCTATGCCAATTTTGCTGAGGGTTTTAATCGTAAAGCAATGCTGGATTTTGTCAAATGCTTTTTCTGTGTCTATTGACATGATCATGTGATTTTTGTTTTTAATTCTGTTTGTGTGGTGTGTCACATTCATTGGTTTATGTATGTTAAACCGTCCCTGCATCCCTGGTATGCAACCCACTTAATCACGGTGGATTATCTTTTTGATGTGCTGTGGGATTTGGTTCACTAGCATTTTGTTGAGGATTTTTGCATCTATTTTCATCAGGAATATTGGTCTGCAGTTTTCATTTTATGTTATATTCTTCCCTGGATTTGGTAATAGGGTGATACTGGCTTCACAGAATGATTTAGGGAGGATTCCCTCTTTCTTTATCTTTTGGAAAAGTGTCAATAGGATTGGTATCAATTCTTTTGAATGTCTTATAGAATTCAGTTGTGAATCCATCTGGTCCTGAACTTTTTTATTGGCCATTTTCTAAATACCATTTCGATCTCACTGCTTGTTATTTGTCTATTCAGAGATTCCACATCTTTCTGGTTTAATTTAGGAGGGTTGAATATTTCCAGTTATTTATCTATCTCCTCTAGGTTCTCTAGTTTATGCGCATAAAGCTGTTCACAGTAGCCTTGAATAATCTTTTCTATTTCTGTGGTATCAGTTGCAATATCTCCCACTTTATTTCTAACTGAGCTTATTTGAATCTTCTCTCTTCTTGGTTAATATAGCTAATGGCCTGTCAATTTTATTTATCTTTTCAGATAACCAGGTTTTATTTCATTTATCTTATGTACTGTATTTTTGTTTCAATTTCATTTACTTCTGCTTTGATCTTCGTTATTTCTTTTCTTCTGCTGGGTTTGGGGGTCAATTGTTCTTGTTTCTCCAGTTTCGTGAAGTGTAAGCTTAGATGATCTATTTGTGCTCTTTCAGACTTTTTGATGTGGGCATTTAATGCTATGAGCTTTCCTCTTAGCATTGCTTTTGTTGTATCCCAGAGGTTTTGATAGATTGTGTCACTATTATTGTTCAGCTGAAGGAATTTTTAAATTTCCATCTTGATTTCATTGTTGACCCAACAATTATTGAGGAGCAGGTTATTTAATTTCCATGTATTTTCATGGTTTTCAGGGTTCCTTTTGGAGTTGATTTCCAATTCTATTCCTCTGTGGTCCAAGAGAGTACTTAATATAATTTTGATTTTCTTAAATTTACTGAGACTTGTCTTGTGGCCTATCATATGGTCTATCTTGGAGAATGTTCCATGTGCTAATGAATGAGTGTATATTCTGTGGTTATTGGGTAGAATGTTTTCTAATATCTCTTGAGTCCATTTCTTGTAGGGTATAGTTTAAGTCCATTGTTTCTTTGTTGACTTTCTGTCTTGATGACCTGTCCAGTGCTGTTAGTGGAGTATTAAAGTCCCCCACTATTATGGTGTTGCTGTCTATCTCATTTACTAGGTCTAGCAGTAAATTTCTTACAAATTTGGGAGTTCCAGTGTTAGGTGCATATATATTTAGAATTGCGATATTTTCCTGTTGGACTAGTCCTTTCATCCTTATATAATGTCCCTCTTTGTCCTTTTCAACTGCTGTTGCTTTAAAGTTTGTTTTGTCTGATATAAGAATAGTTACTCCTGCTTGCTTTTGGTGTCCATTGACATGCAATATCCTTTTCTACCCCTTTACCTTAAGTTTATGTGAGTCTTTATGTGTTAGGTGAGTCTCCTGAAGACAGCAGAAACTTGGTGGGTGAATTATTATCTATTCTGCCATTCTGTATCTTTTAATGGAACATTTAGACCATTAACATTCAATGTTAGTATTGAGATGTGAGGTGCTATTCTATACATTGTGCTAATTTTGCCTGAATACGTTGTTTGTTTTTTCATTGTGTTGTTGTTATATAGATCCTGTGGGATTTATACTTTAAGGAAGTTCTATTTTGGTGGATTTGTTTCAAGATGTAAAGCTCCTATTAGCAGTTCTTCTAGTGCTGGCTTGGTAGTGGTGGATGCACTCAGCATTTGTTTGCCTGGAAAAGACTGCATCTTTCTTTCATGTATGAAGCTTACTTTCAATGGATAAAAAATTCTTGGCTGATAATTATTTTAAGGAGCCTAAAAACAGGACACCAATCCCTTCTAGCTTGCAGGGTTTCTGCTGAGAAATCTGCTGTTACCCTCAAAGGTTTTCCTCTACAGATTACCTGATGCTTTTGCCTCACAGCTCTTAAGACTCTTTCCCTTGTCTTGACTTTAGATAACCTAATGACTATGTGTCTAGACAATGATCTTTTTGCGATGAATTTCCCAGGTGTTCTTTGAGCTTCTTGTATTTGGATGTCTAGATCTCTAACAAAGCCAGGGAAGGTTTCCTCAATTATTCCCTCAAAGCTGTTTTCTAAATTTTTAGATTTATCTTCTTCCTCAGGAATTATTCTTAGGTTTGCACATTTAAGATAGTCCCAAATTTCTTGGAGGACTCGTTTGTTTTAAAAAATTCTTTTTAATCTGAAAGCCTTGTCTTTGAGCTCTGAAGTTCTTTCTTCTGCTTGTTTGACTATATTGCTGAGACTTTCCAGTGCATTTTGCATTTGTCTAAGTGTGTCCTTGATTTCCAGAAGTTGTGATCATTTTTCATTTGTGCTATCTATTTCACTGAAGAAGTTTCCTTTCGTATCCTATATTATGTTTCTGATTTCTTTAAGTTGGACTTCACCTTTCTCTGGTGCCTCCTTGATTAGCTTAATAGTCAGCCTTCTGAATGCTTTTTTTTTTGGCAATTCAGAAATTTTGTCATTGTTCGGATCCATTGCTAGTGAGGTGGTACGATTTTGGGTGGTGTTAAAGAAGCTTGTTTTGTCATATTACCAGAATTGTTTTTCTGGTTCCTTCTCATTTGGATAGACTATGTCAGAGGGAAGATCTGGGACTTAAGGGCTGCTATTTAGATTCTTTTGTCCCACTGGATGCTCCCTTGATGTGGTTCCTCCCCTTCTCCTAGGAATGGGGCTTCCTGAGAGCCAATCTATAGTGATTGTCTTTTTCTCTTCTGGGTCTAGCCACCCAGCGGAGCTACCAGGCTCTGAGCTGGTACTGGGGAATGTCTGAAAAATGTCTTGTGATGTGATCTGTCTTCAGGTCTTGCAGCCATGGATACCAGCACCTGCTCCGGTGGTGATAGCAGGGGAGTGAAGTGGACTCTGTGAGGGTCCTTGGTTGTGTTTTTGTTTAGTGCACTGGTTTTGTGTTGGTTGGCCTCCAGCCAAGAGGTGGCACCTTCAAGAGCACATCAGCTGTGGTCATATAGGTAGGATGCAAACTTGCCCTAGGGACACCGGGTTAAGTATTCAGGTTTCTCAGGTGGTGGGCAGGGCCATAGAACTCTGAAGAGATTATGACCTTTGTCTTTGGTTACCAGGATGGGTAGAGAAAGACCGTCAGGTGTGGGCAGGGATAGGCAGGTCTGAGCTCAGCCCCTCCTTGGGCAGGGCTTGCTGCCGCTGCTGTGGGGGATGGGGGATGGTTCCCCAAGTCCAGTGAAGTTATATTCCCAAAGGGATTATGGCTGCCTCTGCTGAGTCATACAGCTCACCAGGGAAGTGGGGAAAAGCCAGTAGTCACAGGCCTCACCCCGCTCCCACACAGCCCACAGTCCTAAAGGCCAGTCTCACTCCCACAGTGCCCCACCAACAGCACTGAGTCTATTTTTTGGCAGCCGGTGACCAGGGCTGAGAACTTGCTCCAGACCACGAGCCTCCCCATTGAGAAAGCAAGCAGACTCACAGTTTTTTGGTGTCCCAGGGAGCATACAGCAGTGATCAAGTTCCTTCAAAGGGTCTGTGGGTTCTCTCAGCTTTGCTGGTATGTTCCTACAGTAGTTCTTGAAGCAAAAGTTCATGATGTGAGTCTCCACACGCTGGTCTATCCATCTGATCGAGAGCTGCAAGCTAGTCCTGCCTCTTATCAGCCATCTTAATTGAGATTTCAGATTACATCAAATTTTCTAATAGGTGATCATGTCATCTGAAAATAAAGGTAGAATTATTTTTTTCCTTTTCAATCTCAGTGACTTTTTTTCTTTACCTTATTGCACTGGCTACAATCTCTGGCACAGAGTTAATTAGAAGGGGTTGAAGCTGTCATTCTTGTCTTCTTCCTGATCTTAGAGAGAACATATTCAGTCTTTTTCCAGTATGGTGTTTACTAAAAGTTTTTAATTTGATACTTTTTATGGAGTTGAGAAAGTTTTCTTCTGTTTCTAATTGGTTGAGAGATTTTTTTCATCAAGAATGCATGTTGGAAATTTTTTTCAAAAGCATTGTCTATTTTTATTGAGATTGCCATTTTTAAAAATTTTTGGTATGTTAATGCGATAGATTACATTGATTTTTGAATATTATGCTAATTCTGCATTCCTTGGATAGGTCCACTTAGCCATGATATATTCAATTTACTAAATTTTTGCTTGAAATTTCATAAATATGTTCGTGAAACATTGGTCTGTAGTTTTATTGTGATGTCTCTGTCTGACTTTCATATCAAAGTACTACTAGCTCACAGAATGTGTTGGATAATAGTTTCTCCTCATCAAAATTTTCTAGAAGAGAGTATGCAAAACTGGTCATATTTTTTTTTTATGTTTGGTAGATTTCACCAGTGACACCATCTGGGAGTTTTCTCTGAAAAAAAAAAAGTTCTTTTTTTACTACAAATTAAATTTCTTTAATAAACCTAGGGCTGTTTATATTATCTAATAATTCTTGAGTGAGCTTTGGTAGTTCATATCTTTATAGAGATTTGTCCATTTCATTTAAGTTGCTGAATTTATTAACATAAACCTGTTAATACTATTCCCTTATTATACTGTTAATATCTGTAGAATCTGTACTGATCCCAGCTTTCTCATTCCTTATATTTGTAATTTGTGCCTTCTCTATTTTTCACGCTCATCAATCTGGCTAGAGGTTGATTGATTTTATTAATCTTCTTAAAGAGACTGTTTTTGGTCTCACTGATTCTCTCTACTGTTTTTCTGATATTAATATCATTGACTTCTGCTCTGATCTTTCTTTCTTTTTTTCTACTTACTTCGAGTTTAAGTTGTTCTTCTTTTTCTTGCTTCTTAGGGTGGAAACTTGAGACCTTTCTTCTTTTATGAGGCATTTAATGCTATAAATTCCCCCTAATTTCTGGTTAAGCAGTCTCCCACAAATTTTGATATATTAACTTTCACTTCAATTCAGTTCAAAATGCTTCCTTTTCTCTTTGGATTGCATCTTTGACTCACAAGTTATTTATAAATATATTATTTAGTTTCCAAATATTTGGGAATTTTCCTGAGGTCTTCTAGTTGTTGATTTTTAAGTTAATTCAATTGTAAAATCATTTGCTTTTGCCTCTTATTCCCCGATCTGCCATTTCTAAACCAGCATTGTGGTTTCTTACTTGTGACTTTATAGCTTTCTCCACTTCTCTAGCCAGCAAACTCCTATGTCTTTGTCAATGCCCACATCAGATACAGTGTTTTCTGTAAAATCTTCCCAAGCTCTTCCAGATGAAGTCTGTTGCTTTCTCTTTCATGCCTGCAAAATCCTTTATGTGCACTGATTTAAGGGTTCCTATCACACTGGGCTGCAGTTATGAGATTACAAGTTTGTCTCTTCCACTAGACTCTGAGGCCCTGAAGGTCAGGGCTGAAGTTCTATGCAGGTTTGTCTCTGCAGAGCCTGGTGTACAGCAGTATACAACAGTTTCTTAAATGAATGAATGAGTCAGTGACAGAGCCACTTATTTTTGAGTCCCAAGCCTATCCCTCCAGCTCCCAGAATGACTCAACTACTAAAAACAAAGAGAAGATGTGACTATCAAGAAAGAGAGCGGGAGGAATAAATAGGCTTCTTTGTGTGAGAGAGAACCACGGACATGAAGCAGGCCTCTCAGGTATGGCAGGATGCCTGCTTTATGTCCAGGTTGACTTTGTGCCTGTAGGAACTGGGCTGGTGGTTATAGACCAGGTCTGGTCGGCCTTACCTATGCAGATGGTAACCAGGCCACCTATGAGTGAGTGCAGCCGACACAAAGCAGCACCATGCAGGTGTTCCCCATTCCAGCTGTGGGAAGCTGCTGGCTGAACACGGGAAACCATGTTTGCACCAGGCTTGGACCTGTGTGTGCACAGCAGTGTGTAGGCACATGTGTGTATGTTGGGGGAGTTGGGGGTGACTAATGGAGATGAATGATTACTTAATCTGAACTCATCAGGAATAAAGAGCCAACAGATTCCTTATTTCCATCTCTGCCTGCACTCAAGTGCATATACCAAAGCCTATGGTTTACATACTTTCCTAGTGATTTGATCTAAAAATATTTCACCTTTCCTAACCTGTGCCTGTCAGTGACTAACATTATCATAAAAAGTGCACTTTTACTGGGATTCCATAGCAGAAAAGGAGGCTCCCCTAGTAATATTACGTGCCCTTTTAGGAAATTAACTTTTAAAAAAGACATCAGAATATCAGAATACTGAGCTTCCATGGGCAATTGTAGCTATCAGATATGACAGATATTGAATGGCTTTTCTCAGGGACCTGTCCACTCAATGTGTTCCACCATACCGCTTACAAAGCATTGCAACCAGAGTTTCCTATTACTCAACATTATGTGTATTATTCTAAGTATAGAGGCCACTAGAATATCAAGAAACATATGGCACATCTTTCTAGCAATCTGGGATTCATCACTGAAATGCACACTCAGGATAGCTCAGGAAGATACCTACAGAAATGAATGGCTTGACTAGGAAAGGTTAGACCTTTGTATGTCTCTATCTGCAGCTTTGTCTACCATTTTTCCTATTATTTCTACACAAGCCTGCTGTGCTCCTAAAATACCATTCTTCTTAGCAATCTGGGGTGGGTGGGGACAGACTCCTGTAGATCCCCAAGTCTTTGATCAGTATGTAAAACTTTCAGGTAAGATCCTACCAAAAGGGCTTCCTAACTGCTTTGGCTTTTCCAGTAAATTAATGGACTCTATCCAGTTCGTATCTGGAAAAGCTTTTCGCTCTTTAACTAAAGATCAGGTAAGAATAATTGGACACACACTCCGGCATTGGAACTTGATAGAGTTTACTCTGGGACCTTATGGAGGACAAAGGATGAATGACATGCTGTAAATACTGGCCTCACTCCCCAGTGTCTCCTCTCTAAGGAGCTGGTAAAAACCTTAAACCCATGTGGGTGGAGCTCCAGGTATGTGTGAATCCTCTTGTGTGTGGTCCATGCAGGGGGCCCACAGAGTCAACCCGGGTTGCTTGTTCCTTCTTCTCAGCTGTCTTTGAAAACCTGGACCATATTCTTTGATCCCATCAGGGTATAGCTTCTCCTCAGTGTGTGCTGCACAGTGATGGCTGCATTTCTAAGAGAACACTCGGAGACCAGACCTGTTGTCTGGTACTCTCTCAGAAAGAGTGAGACCAAGTCCTGCAAGCCGACTTCACCCAGTCTGTGGGGAGCTGCCTTATTTCCTGAGAGGTGGCTTTTCGTTTACATTGATCCAACTCACTCTGGGCTCTGGATGGTGAGAGAAGCAAGCCTTTTTGATTTGATGCTTGCAGACTGACCACCTGTCCTTCAGGATCCTAACTCTAAACTTGTAGTCTTTTCCTGCATCACCCATTCCTGAAGAGAACATTTTACTTTCTTCTGCTGATGCATTTATTTTTTGTTCCACCAAAAAAAAAAAAAAAAAAAAAAAAACACTGGTGCAGCATCTACATCTCAAAATAAACAAGAATCCTATTTTGTGACTTCATTTTGCATACAGGGGTAGGAATTATCAGTAAAGCAACTAATGAGAGGTCTTCAACAAAGCAGCTCCTTACCAGATGTTTATGTAATTTACTTACTCAGTCATCAAATCATTCCTGTGTTCACATTCTGTACCAGATACTGTCTTACACAGTGGGGAGACAGAGATGAACTCACTCCTGCATTCAAGGAGTTCATAGCCTGGTGGGTTGGCAGCCATCTAAGCAACTAAGCATATTAAACTGTTGGATGGACTATGCTAACAGTCTGTGGAGGGTACAGCGGATTCTGGGAGAGTGACCTGGGGTAGAATTGGGAATGGGAAGGTGGAAGGAAGACTATGAAGAGCAGGCATTGTCATCAGATAAACTAACCTTGAGTCGTGGCTCTGGTTCTGCCCTTTACTAGCTGTGCATTGTTAGGAAAATTACTTAAGTTCTCTGAGTGTTAGCTTTATTATCTGAAATCAAAATAATTACAGTGAGATTTTGGGGAAGATTAAATGAGATCATATTTATAAATCAATTAGCACAGTTACTGGCACCTGGTAAGTGTTCAATAAATGTGATTTATGCATTAATTATACAATTATTATTTTCTAAGCAGTGGCCAGGTCAACTCTTGACATGATAGAAGATCTGTGCTAAAGATGAGATGGGGAAAGCCGACAGAGATTTCCTATCCAGGTTACAGAGATGACCTTTTTTCTGTTTATTGGAAGCTGCCAGCCTGACTTGATTTGCTGTAAAACCCACTTCTTTTCCAGTTACTGGTTGGGAAATTTTATCCCAAGTTATCAATTTACAAGGTGTATGGCAGAAGCAAGCCTGCGGATGGTGCAGCCACTCTATCTGGTTGTCTGCCTCGGCAATGCCTCTTTTCTCCAATTCCGTTTTCAATAAGCAGAGAAGACTGAAAATCCTCCGGCCCCTGGCATGGCTCTGTCTGTGTTCTGGACAAGTGCCAGTTGTAAATGGCTCCTGCTTTTCTTCTGTTAATACTGTGTCTGCATGTGTACCTATCTAGGCCTTTGTTTAAAAATTAAGAAGTGCGTCCAGACAGTAAGTGCATAGAAATGTAGACGCAGGCCAAGAAAAAGAGTGTGGCTGATGTTAAATACAGTGGTGAATAAGTATTTAGAACCTGAGAAATTGTAGTAAAGATTCATTCAAGTTTTTTTCACCCACAGATTTATTCAGTATAATTTAGGATAGAGGGTATGCAGTGCCCAGACACAGAACCCGTGATACTTCTTATATACAATCTTTTTATTAATTGATTCAATGTGCAAATTTCCCTCCAGCCTTTCTTTTTCTTCATTAACACTAGTGAAAATGAATGGAATGTGCAGATTTCTTCAGAAACCTGTCTCAGGTCACCCGTGATGCTGGGAGTCATTTGTGGTAATAGTCCCTTAAGCCTACCTTCCATCATCCCTAGATTTGAACCAAAGTACCAATGCTACAAAGGACATCAGTATCCATTCATTCATTTATTTAACCAGTGTTAGATGCATTACTATTGCATGTAAAACCCTGTGTAATGTTCTATAAGAAATACAGGAATAAATAAGACAAGTCCTTGTCTCCAAGGAGCTCATATCTAAAGAAGGATGCATACTACTCCAATATCCAATATAGGCGGATACAAAAAAAGGAGCAAAGATGAGTCAAGGTTATTAAGAGAACCTGATGTTTTTCATCTATGTTAAATGAATCATCAATAGTTCATTTTTTAAAGGGTAGACAAAGTCATTATTATATCTTTACTAACTATGCATAAATTGCAACTAATTAAAGAGTTGAACATTTAAACCAGATATTTTGGTGGATGTCCAATAGATATATTGTCATGTGACTGTACGTACTCAGATTATCAAAACTAATATTTCTAGAATTTTTATAGTAAACAAAGTGCTTTTGGTGTTAGCTTGTGTATATACAGCTGGTATTAAATAAATACTTTTATACATTTATATATATATATTTAGATTTGGAGATGCATTCACTTATAAGATCACAAGAGTTGAGTTGTGTCAATAGAACCCATTCTTGTAAAAATCAAACTTCAAACATTTCTCTTTTCCTCAGATTGAGGTACAGTATACCTGAAGCTCAATGTTACTTAACATGATAAAATAAATCTAAAACAAAAATCATACTAAAGTAAATACCCTGCTTACTGCTGAAATTTTAGAAGTCCTCCCGTTAAAGTCAGTGACAAGACAAACTGACACACTATCACTATCTTCAGCTCACATTATATGGGAGGACCTAGTTAGTGAAATCAGACAAAAAAAATGAATATGTTGAAAGATTCATAGAAACAACATCGTTATTTGATGCTGTCATGATTGCCGATCTAGTAAATACAAGAAAATCTATAGACAAATACTAAAACTAATAGATGTCGGGAATAGCAGGAATATTTTTCATTTGCACCTGCACATCCACTCTCTACTCTTCACTCTTTCAGTGCCCTGGGAGACTGACTTCTATAAGCGTCAAATGTATTTGGCAGGTGGTGAGAAGGAAAAGGGGCAAAGGCAGGAGATCTATCAGAAGGGAGGACAGGGTGTTAGTCTCCCAACTCTGCTTCACCACTGGCTAGCTGATCCCTTCCACCAATGTCTTAGCATCTGTCAGGCAGACTTCTCCACAGGAACCTTCTTGTCTCCCTGCGCTCCTTCCTCTGGTCCCTTCAGGTACAAAGGTGCTAATGAATCCTTGCTATTCCTAGCCGTGACCTACTGCATTACCACTAGTAGATTTCACATACCCTCTCACACCTCTGTAAATTATCCCTTTACTAATCTCTTCTCAAATTACCCTAATTTGAGTGTATCTTTTTCTTGTTGGGCTCCTGATTCTTACAAGCAATTTTGATGAGCACAAGATCATCAAATATAAATCAATATTCTTTCTATCCATTAGCAGTAACCAATTAAAATATGATTTTTTAAAGATTCCAGAAATTAGTCTGGAGTGTGTCAGATATTTACAATGAAATAATTAAAAATTTTAAAGGATATTAAAGAAAACCAGAATAAGTATATTAAATTATAATGTTCACTTTTGGAAAACCCAATCTTGTAAAAATATCAATTTTCCTCAAAATTAGTCTGCAAATCAAATGCAATTCATATAAAAATTCCAATAAGATTTTAATGAAATGGAATCATTCCAATCAATTCTAAAATGTATAAATTATGATAAAAATCTAAGAAGAGTTAAAAATCATTAGAGAAGGAAAGAGTCTATGAAACAGAACCAAGAGGAAAAGAAAGAGGTAGTTTTAGGAAGAATAACTTCTACTAGAACCCAAACCTTACTTAGAGCTATAGTAATTATAAAAGAATATATTTACACAAAAGGAGAATAACAAATGTACAAAATAGAGAGCCCAGAAAGAAATCTGCATGTTAATGAAGATGTGCTTTATAACCAAAAAATTACATTAGAAATCACTAAGAAAGTTGATTATATGAAAGATATTAACACAATAGGCTATCCATATGGGGGAAAATAATAACCTTGTGTAAACAGTACTAAAACACAAACCGAAATATAAAAAACAAAAACTTCTTAACAAAATAACAAAAATAGAAAACTATCTTTATCATCCATGCATAGAAAGGTATTTTTAAATAATACACCAAAAGAAAAAGTTATGAAATAAAAGATCATCTCATTCTACCTTTATGCTAACTCCATGTTAAGAAGAAAAAAAAAAGCTTTGTTGCATCTGTTTTTTGTTAGTTTGTTTTTTGTTTTTGTTTTACTTCTTAGGAAGTCCCATATAACTTGCTCTAGGTGACACAGATGAGACTTTATTCCAGGTCTCTTGACCAAAATTCCAGTGATTTGGGAAAACTGTTGCTATTTCCTCCACTCCTCTTAACCATATGACCCTTTCAGTCGCTTAGTCTTGAGAGCTCACTGATCTCATGTGTTTGAGTATTTGATGATGACCATCTTAGAGAAGTTGGAAAGGTTCCTGAAGCAAGGTCCCAGACTGTGTTCCAGGAAGAATGATCCAGAAAGGCTGAAAGCAGAGAGGAGAGGAAAGCAGGCTCTTGTGTCTTAGGTAGCGCTAATGCTTGCTAACACGGGTTTTCTTGCCACATCAGAGAAGGGACACCTGCCAAGACCACCAACCTTCCAGCCTTGGGTTTTTTCCTCAGGTGGACTCCAAGAGGTCCTTTGGAGTAGAACTGCATTGTGACTAGACAACGGACCATAACAGTTTCCTTCCTAACATATAATGCACTGTTGTCTCTTAATTGATTCAAATTTCTTTTAGACCATCTCTATAACATCAAATTTTCAAACGTTACTCCCTAGTCCATGAGGTAGAATATCTCTGCCTGCCACAAAACTCCCCTTAATCTTTAAAATTCAAGGTTTTCAAGCCCTGGGATTTGGAAACTAGGTTAAATGCAGAATATCAAGCCTCCTGATTATTTGATCACCTCTTCCCACATGCAGGCCTAGTCTCTAAATCCTGGCATGGTGTATGCCTAGGAACCCATCTGTTATTCTCTCATACCTACCTGACTGTGATGGAGCACTTCAGCTACAGCTGAGCACCTGTTTTTGAGAGTAAAATGTGAGTCTGACTCTGATCTGGACAGGACCAACACATGCCCCACAGTTACGTTATCACAACAAATTTAATGGAAGGTGAGGAGGTTGATGAGGATCTTGAACAAAGCTATCATCAAAGCCTACATTTTAGCACTTCTTGCAGGTGTGTTTGGTTGCTTTGTGCCCATAATCAGGAACTACAAACATGGCTACCAGTTTGTTTTCATTCTTTGTTTGGCTGTGTCTAAAGATGTCGAAACAACCTGTCAGTTTAACACGAAGATATTAGCTGGTTCATTAGACATATTCACTTATCTTTTGACAATGCAGAGATGGAAAAACTGGGAGCTAGCCTGCCCTCTCCCTTCTCTGGCCTCCTTTCAGCCCACCTCTAGTGCATTTTTTGCTCTGTGTAATTTGGTTGCAAGGTGTGAGAAAGGTAACTCAATCTGAGACCTGAGGAGTGAGCAGAGTGACTTTGTGGTTCATGGTTATTTAATCTGCTTTACCTCTCACAGTGAGTGCTACTATAGCTGTAGAATGTGTAATACTTAATGAAACTCAATACACTTGAAAATCTCTATTTCTGGTCTCTGGTTGAATGAGGATAATTATTACAGTAATTATTAGATTATTTGTGATAATAAGAATTTGCTCATTATCTTCACCTTTGTCTTCAAAGTATTACACAAACACTGACTTGATCCTTTAAACATCCTCTGCTTGGCCTGTTCACATTGGTCAACTGCTACATGTGTTAATCTTGGAACATAGCAGAGGAAATACCCCCTTCCTGCAGCTACGTTCTGTAATGACAACTTTCTGAGGTTGTGCCTGCCCTTTATCTGCAACCACCTTCCTTCTGGCATTCGGTTGACTGAATACCTACTTATATCACGGCTGAGTGATGAGAGATGTGAAGGGTACAATGCACAGAACTTAACAAATCATCTTCCAATGCACATTTTGCAAGTAGAGGTGGATATCTAAGTGTATAGGGATTTGTTTAGAACTTGGGGTTATGGGGATTAGGGAGAGAGGGGTCATATGTACATGGTACAAGCCATGGGTACAAGGGGACATGGTACAAGCCACACAAATGCAGAAGTATAAGAAGTCTCAGTGCATTAAGACAGTCAAGCTGGGGCATGAAGAAACTCTAATATCATGGTCTGACTGCAGTATTTGCTATGGCTAGAGGGACTGCAGTATTTGCTATGGCTAGATGGACCAAAAACATTTTTTTCCCTGGTTGGGTTTTTTTTTTTATTTTGTTAAGTAACCACAAGGAAGATAAATATCTATCTTTATATTCTAATTAAAATATCTTCATTTATTTCAGACAACAATTTGCTTGATAATTTTATCTTTATAGACTTTTAAGTGATAGCATACTTGAGTGAGTCTGGTAGCCTTTAATTGCATAGCTATGCAATAGTATAAGGAATGGGTCTCTGCTCAGATGACATTTGCCAGCAACAAGCTTTTGAAGAACTGCTTTCCTACCCAAACACAAATGACATGGAAATTTTTTCCTTAAGCTGAGTGACATTTTTCAGTTGACATTTGTGTTAATTTATTTGTATAACACACAATGAAATGTTTGCCTATTTTAAATTAAAAATGAATTTTATTTCTTATTTCTTCTTTATAAGGAAGCTATGTTGCCTCCAGATGGAAAATACCATTTAGAGAGCTTTAGTTTTTCTGGTGAACACAAAGATCCCTTGCTGAATGTGGCACAGCACACTCTGGGTGAGATGCTTAACTCAGACTCATGACAGCTTGCTGAAAGAAAGATTTCTGAGTCAGATATGAACTTGGCAGTGATGAAATCTGTTAAACATCTTCTCTGCTTATCAGGAAACATCAACTGAATCCCCCAGTGGCTGCCTCTGACTCCTAGTTTATTCCTACAAGAAGGCAGGAAGCAGCTCAATGCTGAGACCTTTCCCTCGTATCAGTTTCTGAGCACCTGGGAATAGTGAAAAATCCCAGGGCTTGGAATCAGAAGACCTGAGTATCTCTCAGGCTCTAGGACAAGATCACTCTAAGGCCTTCGTCAAGATACATTTCCATTCTGAGCCTCAATTCTCCATTTAGTAAATAAGAAGATTTCTGGCAAAGATGACATATTAAGTTTATATCTGGTACACTTTATCAGCTTTCAACATATAGTAATGACAAATTAAATATAATAAGAGAAATGCAAAAAGACATAGTTGGGCTCAAATAGCAAATATCAGCATGAACAGAAATAGAACTTCAGTACAAAGCACAGAGCACAACTGGAGCCATAAACCTTCTTTGTCACAATTCAGACTCTAGCAGTGATAGTCAGTACTCCCATTCTCATGGAGGAACATGGATCCATATAAACTAGAAGACTGAAGCTGGATTCAGTGTCTGAAATCAAAGACTGAATAAGTTCCAAACCATAACTTGAAGCCCAAAGAAGCTGTTGCATATTCTACCTACGGCTTATGCTTATAGGAGACAGTGATCATAGGGTGCAGGAAAACAAAGACAAAGACCAAGAATAGAGCCATACTACCTGCTGGCTCAGTGATGGGATATGTAATTCCCACAATTCTGCCACAAAGAAGAGATGCCAAAATGCCACTAGACGATGTGGGGCTGGCCTGTAAGTTCAAGAGCACTAAGAATTCGCATCAAAAAACCTTCTTAGTAAGAAAACATATAAAGGGGAATGTGAGAAAAATAAACTTTCACATCAATCTGAAACTAAAATTTTAAATGTGCTAATAAATTATATCATAAGGAAGGCAAAAGATACTAACAGATTGAAAAGTTTAGTTTTCTCCAGGTTAAACTACAAATTATTAATAGGAAGGTAGCTAGCAGACCTCAAAATAGATGGCGTTTAAACAACAGAGTTCTAAATAACACATAGGTTAAACAAGAAATCTGAAAAAAGTTCAAAAACATTTTAAATTAAAGTTAAATTAAAACAACTTATCAAAATTTGTGGGATGCAGCAGAAAGCAGGGCTTAGAAACAAATTTACAAATTGAATGCACATATAAGAAAAGAAGAAAGATCTCAAATCAATAATCTAAATTTCACTTCAGGAAACTAAGGAATAAAAAGGAAGTTAAATCCAAAGTAAACACAAGAAAAGAAATAGTAAAAATTAGAACAGAATCCAAAGAAATTGAAAACAACAAATCAAAAGAGAAAAATCAAGGAAAAGAAACCAAAAGCTGGCTCTCTGAAGATATTTTTTAAATGATAAGTCTTTAACCAAGTTAACTAATCAAATAAATGAGAGGACACAAATTATCAAAAAAAAATAGAAATAAAAGAGGAGACATTACTACAGATCCCATGGATATCAAAAAGATAATAAAAGAACAACATGAACAATTCTATGCCAACATATTTGACAACCTAGGTGAAATTGGCCAATTCCTTGAAAGATATAACTGCCAAAAGCAGCACACACAAAAATATAGACAATCTAAATAAACCTGTATCTATTAAAGAAATTGAATCAATAATTTCAAAACAGAAAACACCAGGCTCATTAGAGTTCACTAACTAATTCCAGAAAACATTAAAACAAGAAATTATACCAATTCTCTAAAATCTCTTTTGGTGGATAGAAGTAGAGGGACCACTTATTAACTCATTCTATGAGGCCAGCGTTAACCCAATACAAAATTAGATAAAGACATTACAAGAAAAGAAAACTACAGAATGTTATATCTAATAAGCACAGATGCAAAAATTCTCAACAAAATGTTAATCAATCAAATCCAACAATGAATACAAAAAATTAGACACCATGACCAAGTGGGATTTACTCCAGGCAGGTAAGTCTAGTTCATCATTTAAAAATCTATTAATGTAATTAATCCCATCGACAGGCTAAAAAGAAAAATCACATGATCATATCAATACATGCAGAAAAAGCATTTGACAAATTCCAACAATTATTCATGATTCTTAAAAATTCTTACTAAACTAGGAATAGAGGTGAACTTTCTCAACTTAATAAAGAATATCTACCAAAAAAACCCTATAGCTAACATCATACTTAATAGTGAGAAACTCAAAAGTTTTCTATTAAAATCAGGAACAAGGCAAGGATGTCCTCCTCTCACCATTTCTTTTCAACATTGTACTGGAAGTTCTAGCTAATGCAATAAGACCCCAAAAAAGGGAAATAAAAGGTAAACATATTGGAAGGATGAAATAAAACTCTGACAAATTGAGTTTTCATAGAGTCCACAATAATATCTCCCATTCACATGTTTCTCTTATTATGTGATTTTGACAATTCTTTCATTTTGTGATGGGATTTATATCTCCTTTCCTTGGACCTTGGCAGGATCTTGTGACTGCTTTGATCAATAAAGAACAGTGGGAATAATATTATGTGACTAGCAAATCTAAGTAATAAAAATATCTTTGTCTTTTGCTTTTTTCACTTGGGATGTTCACTCTTGGAAGCCAGCCACCATGCTGGGAAGAAGCCCAAGCAGCCTGTGGAGAGGTCCACAGTGGAGAACTGAGGCTCCCAGTATACAGCTGTGGCTGACCTCTTAGCCAACAGTCAGCATTAAGTTGTCATTCATGTGAGTGAACCATCTTGGAAGCAGATGCTCCAGCTGTTAGTTGAGCTGTCCCAGATGATGCCACACGGAACATAGATAAACCATTCTTGCTGAGCTCTGCTCAATTTGCAGATTTATTTTCAAAATAATTGTTACAATATTGTTTTGTTAATCCATTAAGTTTTGAGGTGGATTTTTACTTAGTACAAGTTGAGTATTCCCTCTCAGAAATGCTTGAGACCAGAAGTTGAGATTTCAGATTTTTATTTAATGTTGAAATATTTGCATATACATAATAATATGTCTTGGTGATGAGACCCAAGTCTAAACGTGAAATTCATTTATGTTTTATATACACCTTATACACACAGCCCGAAGATAATTTTATACAATACTTCTAATAATTTTGTGCATAAAGCAATTGTGTACATTGAAACATCAGAAAGCAAAGATATCACCGTCTCAGCCACTCATGTGAACCATCTGTGGTTGCTTGGTGTCACCATCATTTCTGACTCTGAATTTATATGCTACTCATAAACAGTCACTTTCTTACACTTATTCACACATACACATAAGTACTTAATAGTAAAAAATATGACATACTATTAATAGAGAGCAAAAGTAATGTGTGCAGGGTAACTAAGCATCACAGCAGCATCACCAGAAAACCTGAATCAGCTGTTAGGCAACAACAACAACAAACAATGGCAAACTGAATGAGCTGTGTTGTGTACCTGCATTTTGATTATGACCCATCACATCAAAGTAGATGTGAAAATGTACACTATGGATTCATACTGGCACTCAAAAAGTTTGAGATTTCTGAGCATTTTGAAATTCAGATTATTGGATTAGGAATGCTCAACCTGCAATGTCATCTAAAATAGTCCCCGCTTGCCTAGAAATGTGGACAATACAATTTACTCAGTTTTTTCTGACCAATTTAAATTTATCCTTTAACAGGATACCCTTTATGGAAGTGCACCAAAATTATACCCCAGCAGGCTTAACTATGCTTCTTCTGTGTTTCCACTATCCTAGCATAGATTATATGTATTCAATTTTTATATTTATGATATTTATGTATTTGCCTTGCTAGACTGTGGGAACAAAGACTACATCATATTCACTCTGAGGTCTGAGCATCTAGCACTGGGTCTTGCACACAGAAAGGACTCCAAAATACCCACTGAACTAAAATAAAAGTAATGGCCTGCTTCACAGTTTTCTATTCATGATTGAATCAACAGTATTGCAGATGATGTCAAGTAGGGATCAGTGTCAGTCACAGAGGGAAGAAAAGCAAAGTATGCAACCCAGGGGGATAACAGACACAAACCAGAAGGGTTCAATGCTAGTTTTCCCAGTGAGGGAGTCAACATTACCCTCATATGTGTAGTAATGGGTTTTTTTTTACAGAAAAACCACAGAGGTTTTCTTCCAATATATTTAATTGTTTTCTTGAGATCCCAGTTTATTGTGAGTGTTTTTACTCCTTAAGGGATTCGGATGTGGTGAAATTGATCCAGAATGACCTGCAATTCTGAAAATTAGAAGGCTGTTGAATATTTTCTTTGAAAATGTTAAAGAAAATGGGCATGTTGAAGTATCCCGGTCTTTGGTATTATGTTAGGGACTCTGAACAAGAAAAAGAATTCATCAACTATCACCATTTTTGAGACCAGAAAGTGAAAAAAAAAAAGCTATAACATGATCTATTTGAACCCAGATAAGATTTACAATTTTGCGAATACTCTAAGGTTTCAGCACCATTAAAGTTTTTTGATTGGCTTCTGCTTACAAGAATATCCTTCTGTATTTCCTAGGAGACTGTTCAGGAATATTCTAGGTAGAAACTTATTACTGGGTATATACCCAAAGGACTATAAATCATGCTGCTATAAAGACACATGCACACGTATGTTTATTGCGGCATTATTCACAATAGCAAAGACTTGGAACCAACCCAAATGTCCAACAATGATAGACTGGATTAAGAAAATGTGGCACATATACACCATGGAATACTATGTAGCCATAAAAAATGATGAGTTCATGTCCTTTGTAGGGACATGGATGAAACTGGAAATCATCATTCTCAGTAAACTATCGCAAGAACAAAAAAAAACAAACACCGCATATTCTCACTCATAGGTGGGAATTGAACAATGAGATCACATGGACACAGGAAGGGGAATATCACACTCTGGGGCCTGTGGTAGAGTGGGGGGAGTGGGGAGGATAGCATTGGGAGATATACCTAATGCTAGATGACGAGTTAGTGGGTGCAGCGCACCAACATGGCACATGTTTACATATGTAACTAACCCGCACAATGTGCACATGTACCTAAAACTTAAAGTATAAAAAATAAAAATAAAAATAAATAAAAAAATAAAAAAAGAATGTAAAATATTAAAAAAAAAGAAACTTATAAAGAGTTTTACTTAGAGGAGACAATTTCTTTTTATGTGATTCTGAGTCTCTTCCCCAGTGAAAAGCTGGTTTTCAGCGCAACTGTCACTGTTTCTAGCCATGACATCTCCTCCAGTAATAAGCTGGAAGGATCAACGATCTGAGATACCCCATCTCTCATAGTACTTGAAGAGCTCCAGTGTTATAATTTGAATTTCCAAAGGGAAAAGAAGATTAACCTAGTCCATCTACAAGGTCATAAAGGACCAGTTTAGGTTTCATCACTGTTCTCTCTGCCATAGATTCAGCTTTATCCTAAGGCTAGTTCCCTTTGCTATCACAGGATACCCATCAATACCAACACTTCCTCATGATTGTCAACAGCAGCAATAGACCAGGTGTCCTTGAAGTTTTCCTTTTGTCTAAGGAAATTTTTTACCAAAAGCCCCGAGAAAGTATCCTCTTACAGCTCATGGTTTGAAAGTATGTTTCTTGCCCATTTCTAGATAAATTATTGCCAACAGGAAAGGCCCCATGGTGGATTAGCTTAGGCTGAGTTTTACACCATTCTCTAGCAAGAGATGTAGGAATGACCATGATCTATATCATGTAATCAGGACCCTGAAACTGGAAGTAGGAAGCTCCACAATATGGAAGGGCTAGAATCACTGCTGGAGAGACAAATAGTGTTCACTGAGCATTGCTGCCTGCACTACAGGAATGCCATCAAATATCTGTGGAGCTGGTTAGATTTTTGATGTGTTCCTTCCGTCTCACATTTTGTTTTCCCTTGGTCTCTCATGAGGATTATTTCGTAGGAACTAAATGAACTGGCTTCTTCTGCCCTTAAGGGGAAGACAAGCTGGCAGGAACATTTGGCTGGGAAGGTGGATACATGAAGTCCCCTGGTTGAGAATCTGACTGCGGATCCCAAATCAAGATCTTCCTAGAGAAACAAGATGCCTCAGAACCTATCAGATTCCCTAAGGGTTTGGGAAGGCTCTCCCCTAGGGACTTCTCTGCCCTTATTGCTCTTGGCTAATGTCAGGAGGATCCAGGTGTTTGGGGAGTTGGAGAGGGAGATGGCATGCCAGTGACTGACTCAGCAAAAAGGCTTCTAAAGAAATGTGCCCAGGTTTCTGCTCTCAAAGTCCAGCCTCCACAGCACTTTAAACACTCCCGCCTCATGGCCCGATTAGATGGGAAATACATTTTTTGTTCCAGATATTTATTTAAAAGTTTCATTTTCACTTAATAAATCCACAGCCATGGCATCCGTGGAAGGTTTCCCCAAGTGGTAATTTATGCCTAATGAAGAATTACTTTTGAAAGTGCATGGGCTGCCTGTCACTGAGGGAAATTGTGGCCACTCAGTTTTTAGACTTATTGGCTGTTATAGATTAGGGAGTTGATATATATTTGAAATGTTTATGCCTTCTCCTTCTTGTTAATTATCGATCTAAACCTTTATGGATTCCGAGACATTTGTGAACAAGGCTTTCATTAATCCCCAAGGCTGCAGAGGGGTCTGGGTAATGGAATCTCCAATTTAGAGATATGCGGGAAACTTGGGACCCTAGAAACAGGCTAATTTCTAGGGTCACAATAGTGGGTCAGTGATGGCAGAACTTCCAGAGTTTATAACAGGGGCACAGGGTATCTAACTTGCTCAGCAAAGATGACCCTTTGGCTGTAGTTGGGGGACAGTCAGCACTGCCCTGCCAAAAACTGAGATGTAGCTACATCCCTTCACAATGCTCCTGGGGCTTCCCCTGCACCAGTGTCCCTGTCCTGTGCCCTGCTTTAACTTCTACTCGTGTGCAGTCTACCTACTGGTGGGTTCGTCACTTCATTCTGAATCAGATATACAAAATGTCCACACCGTTAACTCCCTTGTCTTATTCCATTCTGCTCCTCTTTGCCCGTCTTCCTTCCTATCTCTCACCTACTCACCACCCAAAGGCAGTGGAGGGTCTTAAAAATAGAAACCCTGGCAAGAATCTCTCAGAACTTGGTCACCAGATCATCAGAGCATGAGAAGTCCGAGGTGAGGTGTGTTTCTTCATTCTCTCATTGTAAGGTCTGCAGAGGGTCTTGGGTCCAGCCATGTGTCCTGCCATGGATGAGGCCAGCAGAGGGTCTCAGATCCAGCCATGAGCCCTGCTATGGATGGGGCCAGCACAGAAGCTGCACAGCCTGTGAGAGGACACTCATTCCTCAGGAGCACAGAAAGGAGGGGGCAGGATGGGCCTTTGTTTCCTTTTCCCATTTCATAATCCTGAGGGACTTTGGGGAGGTTCCAACTCTTTGCCTACTCTCAATAATTTCCTAAGGGGAGTCACTTGCTAAGAGAAATAATGGAACTGTTTCATTCCATATATAATATCACCTTTAACAGTCCAGCTTCCAGAAATATTCTAGTGACTGAACTTGGGCTTCGGGACATTTTCAGTGTTCTTGTTCCCTCTTATTTTCCTGGAGGTCATGACTTTGAAATAAACATGATGCCACTTAATGAGAATAATGGGAAAGCTGACATCAGAGCCTGGAGATCTTACCTGCCAAGGTGGAGAATCAGATGTCCCCTGTGGGCTGTATGGAACCTTTCTCCAGAATGTCTGCTTCACCCTCTGTGGAGCCTAGAGAAGACCCAGCCTCCTTCACAGACTAGAGATGTTGTGTGTCCTGCAGCACCATGTGCCTGAGTGAGGACTGGTCAGTTCTCAGAACTATGCCAGCAAACCTCTCACCTCTGACACAGGATGTCAGCCCAGGAAAGGCCCTAAGAACTAACCCTCCTTACCCAAGCCCCTCGCTATGTAAGAAATGAGGACTGAGGCCGGCCTAGATTGCGTGTTCCTAATAACAAATTCAAGAATGAGGGGGGCCTGGCGGGGTGCTCGCCTCCAGGAGGCCTGTGGTTTTATGTGTGTGAGCAAACACATTGTGTTTAAGTAGACCTTCCTCCTGCCCCCACCCATAGCCCTGCTCCCCTCCACCTCTTCTTTATTCATTGCTAACAGATGCTGCAGAGGCCAGAGCCAGGCAAGAGCAGGCCTGCATGGGCTCCCATGCGGGTGAGAAGAGGGAGAACTGATGAGCTGCCACAGAGCAGTGCTGATGAGGGTCTTGGCTTTGAATTTCAGTTCCCCCTCCTCCTCTCCCTCACCCCCTGCTAACCAGGCCTTCAGACATCTTCTGCTCTGTGTCCTTCACATCTGAGAACAGCCCAGATAAAAGAGAGCCTCTGCAAACTGCTAAAAGGTTGGTGTTTCTCCCGACAGCAGCATCGAGGCCAGGGAGCTGCTCTACAGCCTCCTCTCGCGGTGTTCAGCTAAGTGCTAAGGAGGAAGAGGCACATCCTGTGAACCTAGGCTGGGGAAGCCACACTGTGCTCAGGGCCACTGTCACCAGTATCAGCAACATGCCACGTCTCAGCAGCCCAAACCACCCTGTACCAGAGACAAAACAGGACAAGGCCTGAGAAGGAGGCCAACAAGGGATACTGACAACACCGGAGCCAAATCCCCACAAAGACAGCTGTCTTTTGAGCCCCCTTCACATCCATCTGAACACTGTCTGTCCCTCTGACACTGTGCAATGCCACATAAGAGATGCCCCTGTAGTGATGAGTTTGCCTAATGTCCTGTTGGGTAAGCACTGCTTCCTTAATTCCTGCCTGAATTCTGACCATCCTCAGTGCCTAGGTTAAGGACCTCTTCTCCTTTGAAGCCTGTCTTGATCCCTGGTTTGAGATGGTCACTGCTGCTCTGAGCCCCATGACCTGAATTTGCACTCATGGCCCTTACTATGTCTGCCTCTAATATTCCTCTCAGGAGTCTCCTTTCTCCCACATCCCAGCCCAGGGCCAGGGCCATGGCAGTTGCTCAATAAATGTGTTTTGGATAAGTTATATCCTGGAAACACTACTGAGCTTTGTATCAGAGAATTAAAATCTCGCTCTGCTTGAATTAAAATCTTGAATTAAAATCTTGCTCTGCTACACTGACAAGCTGTATACACCTGACTGTGCCCTATAGCAGTATTAAAACGTGGCCTCCTCATCTGAAGGATGGAGGTGATGGTCTCATTACTGCACTCCACACCATCACTCTTGGTAGGTCAAATGAGAAGCCAGATGTTAAATGGCTACAACAGTTGTACAATACAAGTAAATGGGCTTCATAATTCTGCTTTTCCTACTTCCATTTTACTGATCCCTAGTTTTATCACTATTAAAAATGAGTACTAGAAGGAAGGTCCTAGGTCCTTCTGAACAAATTCATTTCAATTTCTCAGTTATCCCCTTCAGAAGGAACTGGTTTCATTTAGCCTCTTCTTGAAGTCAGTTTCAGCAGAGTAAGGTGGTATAGATCACTTAGCTGTAAAACTGAGGAGCTGGGGCCATTCCCTCCCCACCAAATATACTGACTCACTGTTGTGATCTCAGTGCTCATATATTCTCAAGGGTCTCTGAACCCTCAAAGTGGGCAGAGACCACCTTCTTGGGGTCTAACATTATATGCATGAAAGTTTAAGAAGTGAATGTGTGCCTCATTTTGGAAAGCTAATATTTGCTTCTTTGTGAACCCCCAAAGCTGAGCTAGCTGTTTGGCTTTTCATGAGATTTGAAGTTACTTTCAGGGCTTCCTGAGGGAGAACAAAATGGAACAGAAAATTAGCACAGATATTAAGGACCAGAGGAAAATACAGTAACAAGAAATGGACAGGAGAAATGTGGTACAGGGCACATCCAGATTCCATCTCAGGCATAGGCCTGGATGGCACCACAGGCTTCTAAGTCGGGGTTCTTGAAAATGTTGCTGCAATCATGAGGAAGATTTACTGGCCTTTGGTCAAAGCATTAACTAAGAAGCCAACCTTGGTATCCAGAGCATTACTTTCTACACCAGATAACAGAAATGGAGGGCCAATTGGCTTTCTATATCTTTGGTTATCACTTCCTGCCTAGGGCTTCGTGAACTTCCTTGCCCTGGCCACTGTGGCATCAGACTTGCAGGCTTGTCCCTCCGTGGACAGACCTGAGTGCTACTCTGAAGACCATGGGGAACGCCAGGATATGTTTCTGCCCATGGGGATGAAACTCACTCAGAAAGCCCAGCCTACTTTTCTGCCTTCCAAGCATATTTGGCTGGCAAAATACAAACATTTTTGGTCATTAGCCACGGCCTTTGGGGCTTCTAGAACAGAAGCATGAATAGTGATTCTTAGGTCTCAAGAATTGAGAAATATTGTCTTCAATATGCAATTGCTGAGCCCTCCCTGCCAGGAATTGTCCCTGGCCACCCCTTCCAGCAGACCCATAGCAAAGTGCATGTCCCTGCTCTGTCCTCTCACATCACCCCATGGTGACCTCTGCCCCTGCATTTATTACATGGGGCTGAAATTATGTGTTAACTTCTCTGTCTTCCCAAGCAAACCATAACCTTTTAGAAGTCAGGGGTGCTGCCATGTGACCAGTTCAGGTGGCCCAATCTTTCTTCGGGACCTAAGAGCTTAACAAAGTATCTGGAAGTTAGCAGGTGCTCAGTAAATGTTTGTGGAAGGGAGGAAGGAATGACCAAACTCTTTCAGGAGCCAGGAAGTTCCAACAGAGGTGTAGAAGCACTATTGGACCTCCAGAATGCAAGAGGCTTCCAGCCAAGAAAATATGCCTGTAATCCCAGCACTTTGGGAGGTTGAGGCAGGAGGATCACCTGAGCCCAGGAGTTCAAGACCAGCATGGGCAACATTGTGGGACCCTGAACTCTACAAAAAATACAAAAATTAGCTGGGCATGGTGGCACACACTTGTAGTCCCAGCTACTTGGAGGCTTAGGCAGGAAGATTGCTTGAGTCTGGGAGGTCAGGGCTTCAGTGAGCTATAATTGCACCACTGCACTCCAGCCTGGGTGATAGAATGAGATTCTGTCTTGAGAAAAAAAAAAAAAGAAAAAAATTATCAGTAATAACAAAGTAAATTTGTAGATAGATGTATAGCTAGATAGTCTGATAAATAGGTAATAGTAATAACACCACATGAAATGTACTGGGCATTAAGTATGAGTTAAGCATTTTGCAGGCATCCTCTCATGTAATTTCTCCATAGCACTATGAAGTTTGCAGTATAACCCAGCTGCATCAATGCGGGAATGTGGTCCTGAGGAGCGATCTACATCGCTCCCTACAGAGACTCTCCCTACAGATCTTCTGTCCATGCCTGGAATGATTCTTAGGGGTCAATGGAGGGATACCTCTGAGATCTTGCTGTTTACTATGTGCCCACCATGTGCCAGGCAATGGGGTGGATACCCTACATATGCATTCTCATTGAACCTCACTGGAATCCTGAGGGAGGCATATTACTATCAATAACACCCTGATAAATGAAGAAATCAAGACTTAGAAATGGGAAAAAATTAAAATAAGTCCAGGCTACAGGCAGTTCCACAGAATCTGGCATACAGTTGTCACTCACTAAATATGAATTGGATTAAATGAAATGGAATTAAACGGAGTATTCTCCACAAAGGCGAACTCTATTTTCTGGTGCTTCATTTCGCCAGACCTGGCAGATTGCCACCCGCAATCTCCCTTTACGAGGCTGCACTGTGCCTTGGGAGCCGTCTAAAGAAGCAAGAACAGGAGCGGTACCTCCCACATGAAGGAGAGTGTGTGGCGGTCATGGATTTGGGTTGAGGCTGTGGCCAGTGGGCCACAAAATTTCATCAGCCTTGTAAAGGGAGATATATTTATGCAAAAGACTTGCCAGTTGGACTGCATGGGGCTCTTTCTCCCCAGAACACCTCAGGAAGGCAGTTCTGTGGTAGCAGAGTGGCTGAGAGCCAACCCAGCCCAGCACACAAGTGGAGAGTTGTCAAATACATCTGTATATCTGACCCAGTGGCTTGCGGCACTTAGGTGCCAGGGGCTCCAGCAGCAATCCATAGAGGAACAAGGAAATTGTGTTAAGTCACTGAAAATAATTTGCTTTAAAAAACTGTATATATTGGTTGTCTCCTACCTAGAAATATCCCTCAGTGGGGGAATAATTTTGGATTTCTATAGCTAACTTGGAAATCAGAACTTATAATATTTTTGGCTGGTAACACCTAAAGTCTGTGCAGTTTAATATCACCAGATTTAATACTGTAATTGGAATGTGGGGTCCAACACGGTAATTCAAACAATTATATATTAAATATACTATATTTTAATTGTATAATTGCATAATATTTGTATATTGAATGTTCATAGTAAATATATGTTAACATAATTATACATCATATAACTATGTATTAATTATAATATATGTAATACTATACATCAACATAGTACTTGCATGTTTGCATATTTAATTGTATATTTTATTGTACATACAAATTAGCATCTGTATGTGTTTGTATATTCTGTTGAATATTAAATATATAATTTTATAACAAAAATTGTCATACTATTGTAATTGACCTGTAACTGGAGCATGATGTATGTCAGTTCCTGAGATTCCAGTGCATGAATCTTTCTGAGAACCTTGCCATGCCTCATTCAGTCATAAGGTTGGTTTATAATCAACAAGATTGGCAGCCCCACTCTTTGGACTATTTTTCTCTTCTCTTGAATATGTCAAAACATTACAAATGTCAGCAATTTCCATCCTCATGGCTTAGACTGGCTCAGTAATCAGTGACGTCTCCAGCTACACTATAAATGCTGGGAGAGGTAAATGCAGAAAAGAGGAGCGCTTAAGACCTGAAAGCAATTATCGTCAAAACAGGTCATCCCTTTTGTTTTTGCAACTTTTGTGCAGAAAGTCCTTCTCTGCTACTGTTCCCCAGGCACCAGAGTCTGTTTCCATCTTAGAAGCAAGCAACAGCTTGCACCAAGCTTTTGTTGACATAAATTCCACATTGCCTGGTGCTTTTGTTTGTTTCACACATAATCCACATTTTTGTATCTTATGTGCATTTTTCATAGTTCTTCCTGAAGCAATGTCCTGGCTTCCATCTGGGACTACCCGTCTGGGGTCAAGGTCCCTGCAGATAACTGGGTTGTGTGTTGATGGAACACTCAGTGGGATGGAGCTGACATATTAAGAACTAAATTCCTACAATACAGAATTTAAAAATCATCTTGCATCAGACCCTAAAACAAACAGGAAAATGAGCAGTAGCTCAGGTAGCCCAGCCCTAAAGACACAATAGAGTGAAATTAGCTTCTTTTCTTTTCTGAAGAAGTTTTTACAAGGTTATTATGAGAAAGAGGAAAGAAAATGTGCACTTTGGATGATTCTTAAATGCAGCCCTAAGGGGATAAGAAAGAGGGAGACAGACATAGAGTAGAGAATATATTTTGTATTATCGGTGGGACCCATGGGCATTTGTAAGCTAAGTGACTCGTCACAAATCCTTAAACCTTCAAGGAACTGTCCTGAAAGTGAAGATCACTTTTCTATCTCCCAGTTCCAGAATACTTGAGTTGAGCTTCTAAACATAGCTTTTTTTATTTATGGCAAATTCCATGATAGGTGCTGACTTTGTGAACATTTCGAATGCCAAGACTGCAAGAAACCTCAGAAGCTGCTTATTCCAACATCGCACACAATACAGGACTCTGTAGCATGTCCAACAAACAGGCCCCCCATTAATAGGGCACTCATTGTCCCACAATGTTGCCCATTTTCTTATTCGATGCTCCTCTGTGACCAAGTTCCTCTTTATGATGAAACCAAGTGCAAGACTCTCCGTCTTCTATTGATGAGTATAGATTCTGCCTCAAAGTCACAGGGAAAAAATCCCTTCCTGTAACCATAGCTGGATTACATGATGATTATGAGTATGAGTTTTACACTCATTCTGTTCTGGGTTCAAGTCCCACCTCCACCACTTATATAGTTTGGATTTTTGTCCCTGCCCAAATCTCATGTTGAATTGTAATCCCCAATGCTGGAGGTAGGGCCTGGTGGGAGGTGTGGATCCCTCATGGCTTGGGGCTGTCTTTGTGATAGTCAGTTCTTAGAAGATCTGGTTGTTTAAAAGTATGTGATACCTCCCTGCTGACGCGCTCTGTCTCTGTCTCTCTCTTATTCCCAAAGGGGAAGTAGGCCATGTGAAGTGCCTACTTCCCCTTTGTCTTCCACCATGATTGTAGCTCCCTGTGGCCTCCCAAGAAGCTGAGTTAATGTTGGCACCATGCTTTCTGTGCAGCCTACAGAACTGTGAGCCAATTAAACCTCCTTTCTTTTTTTTTTTTTATTACATTTTAAGTTCTAGGATACATGTGCACAACGTGCAGGTTTGTTACATATGTATACATGTGCCATGTTGGTGTGCTGCACCCATTAACTAGTCATTTACATTAGGTATATCTCCCTAATGCTTTCCCTTCCCCCTTCCCCCACCCCACAACAGGCCCCAGTATGTGATGTTCCCCTTCCTGTGTCCAAGTGTTCTCATTGTTCAATTCACACCTATGAGTGAGAACATGCGGTGTTTGGTTTTTTGTCCTTGCGATAGTTTGCTGAGAATGATGGTTTCCAGCTTCATCTATGTCCCTACAGAGGACATAAACTCATCCTTTTTTATGGCTGCATAGTATTCCATGGTGTATATGTGCCACATTTTCTTAATCCAGTCTATCATTGATGGACATTTGGGTTGGTTCCAAGTCTTTGCTATTGTGAATAGTGCCCCAATAAACATACGTGTGCATGTGCCTTTATAGCAGCATGATTTATAATCCTTTGGGTATATACCCAGTAATGGGATGGCTGGGTCAAATGGTATTTCTAGTTCTAGATCCCTGAGGAATCGCCACACTGACTTCCACAATGGTTGAACTAGTTTACAGTCCCACCAACAGTGTAAAAGTGTTCCTATTCCTCCACATCCTCTCCAGCACCTGTGGTTTCCTGACTTTTTAATGATCACCATTCTAACTGGTGTGAGATGGTATCTCATTGTGGTTTTGATTTGCATTTCTCTGATGGCCAGTGATGATGAGCATTTTTTCATGTGTCTGTTGGCTGCATAAATGTCTTCTTTTGAGAAGTGTCTGTTCATATCCTTCACCCACTTGTTGATGGGGTTGTTTTTTTCTTGTAAATTTGTTTGAGTTCTTTGTAGATTCTGGATACTGGATATTAGCCCTTTGTCAGATGAGTAGATTGCAAAAATTTTCTCCTATTCTGTAGGTTGCCTGTGTAAATCTGTAAATGTAATCCAGCATATAAACAGAATGAAAGATAAAAACCACGTGATTATCTCAATAGATGCACAAAAGGCCTTCGACAAAATTCAACAGTGCTTCATGCTAAAAAATCTCAATAAATTAGGTATTGATGGGACGTATCTCAAAATAATAAGAGCTATTTATGACAAACCCACAGCCAATATCATACTGAATGGGCAAAAACTGGAAGCATTCTCTTTGAAAACAGGCACAAGACAGGGATGCCCTCTCTCACCACTTCTATTCAACATAGTGTTGGAAGTTCTGGCCATGGCAGTCAGACAGGAGAAAGAAATAAAGGGTATTCAATTAGGAAAAGAGGAAGTCAAATTGTCCCTGTTTGCAGATGACATGATTGTATATCTAGAAAACCCCATCATCTCAGCCCAAAATCTCCTTAAGCTGGTAGGCAACTTCAGCAAAGTCTCAGGATACAAAATCAATGTGCAAAAATCACAAGCATTCTTATACACCAATAACAGACAAACAGAGAGCCAAATCATGAGTGGATTCCCATTCACAATTGCTTCAAAGAGAATAAAATACCTAGGAATCCAACTTACAAGGGATGTGAAGGACCTCTTCAAGGAGAACTACAAACCACTGCTCAATGAAATAAAAGAGGATACAAACAAATGGAAGAACATTCCATGCTCATGGATAGGAAGAATCATTATCATGAAAATGGCCATACTGCCCAAGGTAATTTATAGATTCAATGCCATCCCCATCAAGCTACCAATGACTTTCTTCACAGAATTGGAAAAAACTGCTTAAAGTTCATATGGAACCAAAAAAGAGCCCACATTTCCAAGACAATCCTAAGCCAAAAGAACAAAGCTGGAGACATCACGCTACCTGACTTCAAACTATACTACAAGGCTACAGTAACCAAAACAGCATGGTACTGGTACCAAAACAGAGATATAGATCAATGGAACAGAACAGAGCCCTCAGAAATAATACTATACATCTACAAGTATCTGATCTTTGACAAACCTGACAAAAACAAGAAATGGGGAAATGATTCCCTATTTAATGGTGCTGGGAAAACTGGCTAGTCATATGTAGAAAGCTGAAGCTGGATCCCTTCCTTACACCTTATACAAAAATTAATTCAAGATGGATTAAAGACTTAAATGTTAGACCTAAAAACCACAAAAACCCTAGGAGAAAACCTAGGCAATACCATTCAGGACATAGGCATGGGCAAGGACTTCATGTCTAAAACACCAAAAGCAATGGCAACAAAAGCCAAAATTGACAAATGGAATCTAATTAAACTAAGGAGCTTCTGCACAGCAAAAGAAACTACCATCAGAGTAAACCTCTTTTCTTTATAAATTACCCAGTCTCAGGTATTTCTTTATAGCAATGCAAGAATGGCCTAATACAGCCACTTATCACCTAACTTTGGTCAAATTACTGAAGTTTTCTAACCCTCAATATGTCTAGAATATAAGTACAATATCAGGATCTATCCCATAGGTAAGGTTTGTTGTTCAGAAGCATGATGGTGGGGGGAAAACATGCCAGAGAAGGACTATGGAACCATGAGTCAGAAGACTTGGTGCACTGTCCTGGCTTTGCCAAGGATAAGCTCTGTGACTTGTGGGAGTCACTTAACCTTCTTGCAACTCATTCCTCCCTTTTCTAAAATGTCCTTCGTAACACTGGCCCTGCCTATTAGCATCCAGGTGCTGCTACGGGGATCAGATGCAAGCACATGGCTTTCATATTCATGCACCTCTCTCTGAGTTTTTAATGCACCTCTGCTGCAGGCCTAGGCAAACACTTGGTGCTCAATAAAAGCCTATGGACTAAATTGCACCTGTGCTTTCTGAGTGAAAGATTAGGAACTGCGGGCTCAGAAGGGAAGAGGCTGATCAGGTGAGGTTTATGATTTGGCAGGCTATCTGGGGGGATAAAGTCCATGGAAAGCAAAAAGTATGTGTTTGAGCTGCAGGAGACAGATCTGGGATATAGGAAAGGATTTGGGTGTTACCTGTTGTGAAAGACCTGGAAGACCCAAAGTGATGAAAAAAGCAGATCTCTGGGCTCCGGAAGGTACTTAGTGGTTGTCTCTGTGGTGCTGATGAAAGGAGTTTCCTGGAGAGGTAGGTAAAGAAAGACCTAAAATACTGAGTTCAAGTGGACTGATGGGCTGGAATGGGGCAAGCAGCCAGGGGGAGAGAAGGTGGGCATAGACCCGGCCAGGGGTGGTTTTTCAGCAGAGGAGTTGTCAACAGAAACTCAATGCTGCAGTGTTTAGGGAAAACAAGGCAAATAAGGAAATTGTCAGAAGACAGAATACAGAGCCCTGCAGTCAATTTCCGTCACCTCTTTTTAATTCTCCAATTTCACTCCTCTTTCAGACTCAGTTCAAGACCAAGTTCAAATTCAATCTCCTCCAGAAAGCCTTCCCTCATCTCTAAAACTCCAAGGAATCTGTCCCTTTCTAAAGTTTCCGAAGGAATGTTGGTCTGTACAAATCATCTAGGAATTACCAATATAAAAATATAACTTCTGAACAACTGATCTATTATTGTCCTAAAATAAAGTTATTTAACATTTCACAGGTAAAATATGTTGTATTCCTCATTCAGCCACCTAACATCTCCCTGGAACACATACAAGGGTTGCATAAAAGGGAATTCTAGCTCCTGTCACTTTTGCCTTCTGACTCCTGAGCTTTGTAAGTTGCCCCTCCCTCCACTCTCAGTCTTACTTACAGGTCTGAAATAATGTTCAGCATCTTTTCTCTGGCAATGACTTTGCCTCCTCTTTTGTTCTGCCTCAGTTTCCTCATTGGTAGACTGCAGCCCTTATACCACTTCATGGAAAGCTTTTCCACCAAGCTGCCTCGTGAAAGAAACCAAACATCTCTCATGAGACTGCATACTCTAAGGAGAGAATCGAGGTCAAGCTCTGTGCCTCGTCATCGCCTACCATGTGTACAGCAGAGCCCTCCACAAGCTGGCGCGTGATAAAGTTTGCTAAGTTTAATTTACCTTTAAAGAAAGTGGCAAAACTCCAGTGAAAGGAGCAGTGTGTGTGCAAATTGAGGCCAGAAATGAATTGCTAATTAGTTTCTCTCAGTTATAACAGTGGGTCTTGCACACTGAAGATATCTATCAAGTAAAATCTAGCAACCCAAGGCCAAAGAAATAAATGTTGAATCTCCAAACTGAACAAGTGGGTAGGACAGAGCTTGGTAAGTTACTGATGGTGAAAACAAATGTATAGTAGGCAGAGGTCCCTCCCTTAAATATTGGCCTCCCTTACACGATATAATACTGAATAGCTGCTACTCTCCTTGAACCTCTGACCTCAGTCTTCCATGATGAAAGACGTCTTAGTGCTCTGCTGTTTGCAGCAGGCCAGAAAGATCATTAATGGGAGGTAAACAGGAGTGACCAGGGCTGGCCATCACTTTGAGACCACCTTTCTATCTTCCCTTTGCCTATTCCAGATACTGCCATTGGAATGTTTTTAAAACAGAGGAATCCAACCCTGCTGAAGAGTCATTTTGCTTGGGTTCAGTTATGTCTTGGCTTACTCCATTCAAAGAGATTCATCTGTTTATCACACTGTGGATTGAGATGAAGGAACAGCCCCCAGGAACGAAAGGAAACACAGCATGGTGAATAATCTCCACCCTCAAAAGGCACAGTCATTCTGAAAAGCCACGTGCTCTGTTTACTTTCAGCCATCACTGTGCCCACATTCCCAGCCATAATATTCCACTTTCAAATATGTTCTTTTCCCATTCATACATATTTATCCCATATTAACCTCACGTATAAGTGCCAACTTCATACTTTCGTTCATTTTTATAACATTTATTAAATGCCTTATATGTGCCTGGCACAGTGCTAAATGCTTTCTCACAGGTTATATCATTGAGTCATCATATCAATGGCTACAAGGTGACTACTGCTATCTCCGTTTTACTACTGAGGAAACTAAAACACAGAGAAGTGAAGTCACTTACCTGAAGTTTCACAGCTAACAAATAATAAAGTTAGATTAGAATCCACATTTTCTAAAGCTAAGACCAGTTTTCATTGTACCATACTTGCCTTTAACAAGTGTATAGTTTTTAAGAATTAGTAATTATGCATAATAGTTATAAATTATGAATTCCAGGGCAGGGAAGATGTCTATGGTTTTATATATTACATTTATTAATCTATCTGTAATTATTTTAGAGTTTAGAGTACATATGAAATTTTGTAGTAATTTCCATTTGGCATTCTGCCAGTCATTCACTTGTCCTAGCAACATTCCTTTTTTATTTTTATTTATTTATTTATTTATTTATTTTTTGAGACAGAGTTTTGCTCTTGTCACCCAGGCTGGCGTGCAATGGCACAGCCTCGGCTCACTGCAACCTCTGTCTTCCAGGTTCAAGCGATTCTCCTGCCTCAGCCTCCCAAGTAGCTATATTACAGGTGCCACCACCACGCCCAGCTAATTTTTGTATTTTTAGTAGAGATGTGGTTTCACCATGTTGGCCGGGCTGGTCTCGAACTCCCGACCTCAGGTGATCTGCCCGCCTCCGCCTCTAAAAGTGCTGGGATTACAGGCATGAGCCACTGTGCCCGGCGTTTAGCAACATTTCTAACACTCTTTTTCTTTGAACATCTATGTCAAAATACTGTCCATGCCACCATCTCTTCTGCATCTCCTCCTCCACACATGTGAACACTACCTGTTCCTTCTTCCATTTGTGGTCACAGGACAGATTTGCAGAGTTGGTGATGCTAAACCACACGTATTAGGGATTCAGAGGGATGAAAAGTCTTTTTTTAGGTTCTAAATAACACGTATTGGAATTTAATGAAAATGGAGCCTATAGTTATAACCACACTTGGGAATGAACTGGGTCCCAGCAAACTAAGACTGAAGACTATGCAGGTGGTGTGTTTAGATCTTCACTTCGATCAGTTTTGACGTAAATCTGGGAATAAGTGGCTATTCCCTGGCCCAGTCATCTGGCCTATAAGCTAGTGGGTTTGGGATATGTGCAGTTTGGGCTGAAAATTTTGAAGTATCCAATAAAAACAAGAGCTTAAAATGGGAGACACTGACACAAAGTAGTGTGAAAACACACTCTGTTCCAATAAAGACAGCTGAAAAAATTCTCCTTTTTGTAACATTGAGTAAAAGCGATGACATATTTGGTCTCACACTGAATTCATAAAAACAGTGGTTTTTTTGCAGAGGGTGAAAACATTCTTCGGTGTCAATTTCCAGCAACAAATGCTAGCATTTCACAACAGGTGAACTTTGGAAACCTGAGAGAGCAGACAGAGAGCATCATCTCTCTAAGAACAGAACTTTGGGTTCCTTCTCAATATTCACACCAGAAATTTCTGCAGGCCAGTTTATTCTTCTATATTGTTTCTGCCTGTTGTGAATTAAGTTTGAAATACCTTCTCCTGACATGTGGCATTTCACCTTGGTGCTCTTTCTCCATGGAAAAGTCTTGCCCATCTGTTTTGAGGCAACTTGGCATCGGAATCTGATTCCACTTGGAAACTTTAGGATGAAACTGGACTTCAATGCACATTAATCTCAACTAATCCTGCAGGTGGACACATGCACCAAGAGCCTCACTGACTGATGTGCAAGTTTCCTCACCATGCAAGCTGCAATCATACCACTGACTCCACTCCAATGAGCTCCTCTCTCCTGAACACCCCAAGCTCCCTACCCTGCTGCTGGGATGGGATCCCTTGGCTTGTTTGCATATTTTAGCCTGCTCAGGCTCCTGTTTAGCATTTGTTTTTCTTGGCATTGTGTTCATTTTTATTATACCCTTGACAGACCAAATCCTAGTGCCAGCAGGCCACAATGAAACAAACACTTACAATTTATAGAAGAAATTCAGATTCTATTTTCCATGAAGCCTAGAATTTCATCGCCTGGTAAAATACTGCAGTCAGGACAGTAGGCTCCCACTACACTTATGTGACCTTCAGAACTGCCTCTTATGTTTAAATCAATCTCTCTCTCTCTCTCTGTCTCTCTCTTTGCATGTACACACAGCTCCAATTAAAGCAAACTCTGGTACAGATGCCTGTTAACTTTCATAATATAGCCACAAACCTAGCTGCTGAACATTTTAGCACTTAAAACCAGCTGTTATCTTTAAACAGTTATGAAAGTCTGAGTTCCAATGATTCCAATTCTGTCTATACAAGATACAGCTTTAGGCTGGCTGCTCACAGTTCTTTCTTTACTGCTAGACAATTTTCCCTAAAGACCTAAGACCCTGAGGGATCTTTGGGCCCAGCTGTATATGTATTCTCTCACCAAAACATCCTACCTCCTGAAAATCTCCATCTGAGCTTGGACACTGCTCTCATTACCCACTTGTCACACAGCCACCTGTGGGTACCGTCAGGGCACATATGAGATGATCGTTCCTGTGCTTAAGGCTATGGGTTCCCCCAAAGAGAATGAAACAAGAGCCTTACTCCTAAAAAATGAATCTAGCTAAGAAGGAACATCTTAAAACAGCTAGAATAATCAATACACATTCTGTGTTCCACTGACATTCATAGTCATGAAGTTTAATGAATACTCTCCAAATTTTATTGGTTATGAAATATCTAATAAAAACTCATGGAAGATAGAAAGTTATGACCAGGTAAGGATATACAATGGATTTCTGGAAGGCTAGTAATGCTAGTAATATGCTCTTTCATATCTAAGTGGGCATTCCATGTATATATGCTCTCTTAACAATTTGTTGAAATCATCTGCCATGACCTGAGAGCTGAGCTATAACTAATTTTATAACTAAGAAGAAAACTGGATGACCTGAATCTTGTTGCTCCTCAGATAGTTTGCAACATGGTAAGGAGGTTCTTCTTAGAGTGGTCACTAGACTTTTTAGCTCATCTTTTGCTGGGGTCAGAGGCTTGTGTTTCTGAACTTCACACAACACTGTCAGACCCTCCTTCCTGGAACACTGGTTCTTTAAAACTACAGCCTGCTGTAGAACTGAAATGTGCTCTCTCTCTTGCCCAGGGCGTTGTGTCCCAGCTTCACTAAAAGACACCTATAAGATCTAGCTTCACATCTGTGATGGCTAATTTTATGCGTCAACTTGGAGAGTGTTTCTGGATGAGATTATCATTTAAATAAGTGAACTGTGAGTAAGCAAATTTCCTCCATCATGTGGGCAGTCCTCATTCAATTGATTGAAATCCTGAATGGAACAAAAAAGTGGGTCTTCCTAAGCAAGAGGGAATTCTCCAGCAGCCTGTCTTTGGACTCCATCTGTGTATCCACCTTCATCTGCACCGTCTTCATCTGTCAGGTCTCTGCCTGCTGGCTTTCAGACTGGAACTCCACTATCAGCAATGCTAGATCTGTAGCCTGCTGGCCCACACTGAAGACTTTGTACTCACCAGCCTCCATAATTGCATGAACCAATTCCTTATAACAAATCATATTCGTGTGTGTGTGTGTGTGTGTGTGTGTGTGTGTGTGTGTATGTAATCACATCCTCTTGGTTCTGTTTCTCTGGAGAACCCTAATACAATATCCATTGCTGCATAACAAGTTACACCAAAACTCAAAGACTTAAAACAACCCATATTCATTATCTCACAATTTCTGTGGATCATAAGTATGGGTGCAGTGTATCGGGGCCCTCTGCTTCAGTCTCTCACAGGCTGCAATTAAGGTGTCTGCCATGCCTGTGGTATCACCTGAAAGCTTGTGTGAGGAAGAATCTGCTTCGAAGCTCATTACATTGATGTCAGTAAAATTCAGTTGCTTGTGCACTGTTATGATGAGGCACTCAATTATTCTCTGGCTGGTGGCCAGAGACCACCTTCTGTTCTTAGCCACATGGTCCTTTCCACAGGGAAGGTCATGACATGGCGGCTTGCTTCATCAGAGCAAGCTCACAAGAAGAGGTGAAGAGACAGGGTTAGCAGGTAGAAAGTCACATTCTTTCATAATAACCTAATCCTGAAAGTGACATCACGTCACTTTTTCCATATTCTATTTGTTAGAAATAAGTTACCAAGTCAAGCTTATCTTCAAGGAGAGGAGATTGCCAAGGGCAATAATACCAGGAGAAAGAGATCACTGTGAGCCATGTCAGAAGCTGTTCACTCTACCCATCCAACCTTTGCTAGGCTGGGCTCTTCCTTGTTTCTTCTTCCTGAAAATCCTACCCACAACTATCAATATATATTTCAAAAAAAATGCAAGTTATCTCACATATAGAACACTTTGATTTTTAGAAAAAAATACATATATATATTCAGAGTTGTGCTATTTAACTTCAGGAGATTTGTAGATTAAGTTTGAACAAGCAATCGTTAGTGTTACTATTGGAAATGCACCTAATTTTATTAGAGAATTGATGCTCAGGAACGTGAACAGTTTGTTTGGGAGGCTTGTAGATCTTCTGGACCATCTGGGAACAGAGCAACGGCCATCCTTATCAAATTTCCATTGCTGAAACTATAGTGGTAGAAACACAAGTCTAACTTAATTTGAAGGAAAACATTTTCAACCCTCAAGAGAATGACTGGTTTTAGATTCTGGGTTCTGTTTCAGGGAGGCATTTCTGTTTTCTTATTGCCTTCCTTCTTTCTATTCCATGGAGGTCAGTTCCATTTCAAAAAGGATAGTATTTAAGGTTGGTTTTCTTTATAGTAAGGGATTTTCATGCCACCTCATCATGAAGGTATTTATTTTGCTAAGTAAAGTAAAAAAAATAAAATGATACTAAGAGATGCTTGCCAAACAAAGCTTAAAAATACAAATGAAGGGTCAGACATATATGATTGCCATAATCCACAGACTTTTCTCAATTCAATAGAGAGAGAAGTGAGTTTTCATACTCATAATCATAGGCTTTTAAAATTAGCTCAGGAAATTAACAGTTTATTATGGTCCTGTTAATGTTATTACTATTATTCACAACATCCTCCTCTCTCTATTTTTCTCAGGTTTATCAATTGGTCTACTGTAACTTCATTTTTCCAGATGGATAGTGGGTACAATAAATAGCTTTAGCAAAAGCTTTAAATGACAAGTTTAAACATAATATTCCAAATGAAAAAAAATAAGGAAATGGCACACATGCGCACATGCACATACATTCACAGGTGGCTTTTTAACATGGATGTAGAAAGGTGTGTATGAAGTGGGGAGGGAGATTCATTGACACCAACAGCATTAAGAAAGCCACTGAGGTGGTTTCTTTGGCTCCAGCAAAATTTGGGATCAATTTTTCTTGGCAAGAATTACGACTCCGGGGATGCTAAAAGGACATTAAAGTAGCCACAGATAGAATTAACTCTATCTATAACAGATAGAATTAACGATTGCTCTGGAAGCCTTCCAGAGTGGTGGGCTAATATAGCGTATCACAGAATTGGGAGCACAGGGGAACCACAGAGGTGAGAAACCAGTCCTGGTTTCTCAATCACCACCAATCAATGTGGAGAGAGTCATTGTGTTAAGTTACTAGTGTAAGTGAGGCCCTGTGATGGCCACCTGTAGCAGGGACTTTCGTTGTTCAGAGACTCTCTCTGTGTGTGTGTGTGTGTGTGTGTGTGTGTCTGTGTGTTCGTGTGTGTTGGTCTCAGAAGTCACTTATTTAGAAAAAGGAAGCCAACTTAATAAGAAAAGCAATAGGAAAAATTTGGTCACAGACTATGATGTAAATAGACTTGTTGAAAAATCACTGTGTCTTGGTTTTAAAGTCTTGTTAGTTCTAGCATCATTGAAAATTTTACAACTCCAACGTGCAACCAAGAAGCAGTTCTGCATATTAACTTGTCTTAACAATAGTTGGTAACAGACTGTTTAATGTCAATTAAGAATAAAGAAAGCTATAGCTGTAAGAAAAGCTGGTAGTAGGGATGAAACAAAACCAAACTTTAGACCATACCCATCAATAGTGGCTTCATACAAACTAGGTCATCACATTATTCTGTTTTATTTCCTTGTCTTGATATCCCTAGAGAACTATAAGAATAAGATGTGCATACTAAAAAAAGATAAATTGGAGTCATTGATTGAGAAGTTGTAAGTGGTTCCTTATATATTAGTTGTTGGCAAGGAGGGGGTTGGAGTAGTGGTCACAAAAGCTAGTAGCAAAAAAAAAAAAAAAAAAAGTAGCAAATTAATTTCCACAAAAGTGTCTAGGCTATCTTAGAAGCCCAAGGAACCCACCTTCCCCATGATAAAGCATCCATGGTAGGTAAGTGCTATTTAAAGAACCAGGATTAATTTATGTAGATACTGATGTTATTTAAATATTTGTGAGAAAGATCTCCAGTTATAAGTACTTGTTCTCATTTTTATAAAATATGCCTATGATTTCATATTTATTTTGCTAGAATGTTTTTCCTAACACAATCTATTTTAGTTAAAGCAAAAAAAAAGTCTTTGGCATATCATACTCAACTTTGTGGTACGAAGGCATGTTGTGCAAAAATTAACATTTTTTAAAACCCAGCCAACCAACCAATGCTCTGTTGAGCACCTACGATGAGCCTTGCATAGTTTCAAGCACTTTACATGTGTTATTTTAATTAATACTGACAAAAATACAATGAAAATAGTGTTATCTATTATCCCATTTTACAGATAGAAAAACTCAAGTTTGACCAAGTAAATATTTAATGGAGAATTCTCAGTTTGGGAATGCAGCACCCTTGTAAGAACCAGGCTCTCTGAGGGCCTATTTCTCCCACCAGCTGTCCAGGTAAGAATAGAGCCAAAGCACTGAGCTTTACTGTTAAGCCACTAGACTGAGAGATACATGTGTTCTTTGATATTTTAACAAATTAAATCTGGTCCCAATGGGGCCAGGTCTTTGGAATCATCCTTCACCGTGTTACTCAAACCAATCTGTAGGTGAGATGTGTCTGGAACTCAGATTCACAGTGAAGGCTTATATAAAGCCATACATGAGGAGCTGCTCACCACCTGACCATTGGCACAAATACTCTCTAGGGCAGTCAGTGGTCCTCAAATTTCACAGCATGAAACACTGCCACTCTTAATGAAGTTTTCACCAGTTGGCAGACCAGTAAGGAAAATAAGGACAATAAACTAGGCATATAAAATACTAGTGAGAGACTGCCATTTCTTTTGTCTGAGATTATACTCCTCCTACATTGTTTTGGTAGTAAATCAAAATTATATATAGAATAATGGGGATAGAGAGTGATTGGTATTTGGTTTTAAATGTTCTAATTTATTCTAACCAAAAATTTCTAATATTTGAATACTTGTGTGTATTTCTCACACTATGATATTTTGTTTTTATACTGATTCATGAAATCCAAGGTTTTTGTTACCAGTGATTCATGGAACACATAGTATTCTCAATAATAATAGCCACTATTGTAGATTGCAAAAATAATTACAAGTCTCCATTTGTCTTTGTATTTATGTCAGTTTGACTTTGAACTGTGACTTTTCAACAATAGGAAGAGTCTTTTTCTCCTTCTATTTGAATTTGCCTGGTCTTGTGACTTGGCAATATAATGACATAAAAATAATGGTGTGCCAGTTTGAAGTGTAGGCCTCAAGAGGGCTTGATTAACTCTACTCCATCTCTTAGAACTTGCAACCAAGATGTGAAGAAGCCCAGGCTAGCTTATATAAGAAAAGAAGCCATGTGCCCAGATGAGCACCCCAATAGCCAATAACCCATTCACCCTCAGAAGTACATTCATCAGGATACATGAGTGAGCCCAGACCAAATCAGCAACCCACAGAACCAAGAGCTCAATAAATGATTGCTAGTTTAAGCCTCTAAGTTCTGGAGTGGTTTGTTAAACAGCAATGCCTGATATCATCACATCCATAGGCGCTGGTTAGAAATGGAAACGGACATTAGAAGACCCCTACTGGAACTTTTTAAAACATATATTTTTATTTAAAAGGTAGCTTTACAATCATCTTTACTGTTTTTATTTTAAAATTGAAGAAATTTAGGGGCATAGCTTTTGTGAGAATTATGCCAGCTCACACATCTAGTTATTGGTAGAAATAATTCTAGAAATTTAGAACAATAAAACTATTTCCCAGTGTTCCCTGAGTGAAGCAAAGATACCTACATTTACCTATCTCATAGTAATCAGGTGATGTTTTCGTGACACTTTGAATGGAACTATCAATTGCCTTTGTCAATAAATGTCACTGGATTCTAGAAAATGTATTTTGATGATTCTCTTAAAGGAATGCAGACCCCACTCCTCACATGACATGCTGCCCCCATTTTAAATTAGAAGTATTTTCAATCTACTGGAGTGATTAGGAGTTGGGAGGCCTAAATTTAGGAAACACTGGTCCTAATCCTGTCTTCGTGAGTCATTGGTTCTCACTCTGCTCCTCAGCTTCCTCATCTGTGAAGTAATGGGGCTGGACTCAGTGACCTTTAAGGTCCTCACTATGCAACAGCATCACAAGCCCTTTATCTGGTAATTCTAAATGTTTGGAAACAAGGCCCAAAAGATAAATGCATTAAAAGTTTCTAGAGCCCAAAGGCCTGGTATTTACTTAGTAGATAGCCTGCTGCTTTTCCAAAATCCAAACAAAAGAAAATTTGGTTTACAGGTGTTTTTGTTATGGGTTGTTGTAGGTTATTCTTATAGAAATGAGACTCATACATCTCTTTTTTCTAAGGTTGCTTTTGTGTATGTTATGATCGTGCTTTTCCACAGTCATTAAATGCATTCTGTGACTTGAGTTGAAATGTATTCAAGCATCCACGTGAAAATAAAACCAGGCACATTGAAACCTCTATTGCGATATTTATCACTGACTGTGCTCACATGACTACAGAGCACCATAAAACCCTGGAGGGGTTACCTTCACTTAACTGCGTCCTTCTCTTTCACCAGCCATTTCTTATTGCAAACAGCTGCTTGGAAACGAAAAAACATTTTCTATTTCCAAGGGATCATTGTTGGCTCTCAAAGTACTTTGCTCGTTTTATTTAACCAATGTTTAAGTTTAATCAAATTCCTAATTCAAAAAATGAGCCAACCTTGCATTTTGAATCACTAGCTCCTGAGACTTGTGCATTTAAAATAGTATAAAAGGGATCAAATTCAAAAGCACATGAGAAAAGTGAAGTGTGTGGTTCTTATGTGTTCTGCTTACTCCTGTGATGTTTCTGGACCAGCTGGCCTCTGCCCACACAGGGGTTCTAAGGGCACCAACCAAGTCAGCTTATAGTGAAGGCTTCCTTGAGTTCTCATAGAGAGCCCATTCCAAATAACCTACCAAAACTGCATCAGCACCAAAGTAAGGGCAGAAAACAAGCTTCACATAAACTTTATTAGCACTCTTTATTATGAAATAAACTAGGCTTACACTTCTTTTGGAGGGGAAAATGATGAACACAAAAAACATACCGTATTTTTACTTACTAATGTGCACTTGTAAAATGCATGGCATGCTGCTTTACAGGCAGTAGCATATAAAATACTTTTTCCAGATGTGGATTCATAATTCTCCAAAGACTATAATAGTTATCATAAGATTTATGGAGGATAATTTATTAATCACATCTTTTTCTTTTAGAGATCTGTTGAGTAAGATGAAAGAGAACTTTAAAATGTCATTTTAACCGAAGGTAGACGGCATGATATCAAGTTACTCCTTTTGTTCAAATTATTTTTAATGACTTTATTTGTTTTATTGCCTCCACAAGTCAGTACCAACTTGGTGGTAATGATCTCTTCAGGAAATCTCTTAAGATTTTTAAAGTAAAATAGCATGGAGCTATTTTAAAAACTAAATGAACTGAACTGTGTGACTTGATTAGTGTTCATTTATTTGAGAAACACATGAGCTACTGAAGCTTATTTTTTTATAAGATTTGGAAGAGACAAATCTTGTGAAAACTGTAGCTCATTGAACATCCACACAGCTTCCTCAACAGGAACTTAGAAGCCCACTTGTATCTAAAGTACTGCAAGTAACACATTGTTAAATAAAATACACATTTCAAACATGGATCCATTTAATCTGGCTTAGATTATTAAAATACAGCTGTGCTAAATCCATATTGAGTAATCCATATTGAGTCACATGATGAGTAAAAATACCCAAATGACCCTCTTATTGTCATCACTTTATTTAAAGTAACTTTTGCTTAAAGCTTAATACTGCAAAAGAGAAAAAGAAAATTCTGCAATTCAGGGGGACTCATGGGTCCTAAAATCCCTTGTCCTCTCATACACCATGAAATCCCTTCCAAATCCCACTGCCCCCAGGCAGAGGCATTTACACTAGGCAATTGGCATAGATCATCATTGAATGAACAGTGGGCATACAGATTTTCGTTCATCCAGGCTCTTGCAACAACCAGAGTTTCTTTATCTGTACTATAAAGATAATATTTACTTTGCTGAGTTATCACAAGGGTTAAAATAAAATGATGCATGTAAGTCATCTACAGCCTGGCACATAGTATTCAATAAACAGGAACTATTGTAATTCTTGTGTGTACAAGTGTGTGAGGAGTTTGTTTTAATTTTGAAAGAGTAATATGGTCAAGCAGTATTTATTGACAGATTTAGAAATAAGGTGTGTAAAATTATTAGCAATCAGAAACAGAAACATATTGAATAACTACCACACGTAATCCACTGTTCTAGACTTTGAAAGGGGCACCAAAATATATGGGAAGCAATCTGTGTTCCAAATTATTCATAATCTAAGAGAGCTCTCTTACAAGTGCTGAGCATTTCAGCAGGATTTTAAACTGAAGGCATTATGATACCACAACACCAGAGGCAGGCCTGGGATGGGAGTGGCTGTTTCTATAGGAAGGGTATAGACAGTGCCTCCCAAAAGTCAAGCAAAGGCTGAGGATGGATGAGTAAGCTATGAAGACTGCATGCAAGTTGGGCTGGGATGGGTGTAAGAAGGTGAGGAGTCTAGAAAAAAAAAAAAAACTTAAGAGCATTTGATGTTTAAATTAACCTGGTAATCAGAGAGAAGTAAGACCAGGTGCACAGAAGAAGACCGATAAATTAAGAACCAGGCTAAGTTTCAGTGTAGAGATACAGGGCCTCTCTGAAAGCCTCAAAGCTGAGAGAAGGCCATAGTTAATACCAGTATCAATCCCAAAAAAGAAGATGTCTACATCTGGTGAATCTATGTGTCCCCAAGGCACCTTCTGAGGTGGTCCCTGCTGTGGCGGTTTCCCATTAGACAAGGAAGCCACCCCTGGAGGAGGCTGGAGAAGGCAGCCTGTGGAGAGCATGGTCCTTCCAGCTCCCCATCCCGCACACACCTCCACTGCCACGGACTCTGCCCTCTTTACATATCTGTCTGCACCACGAGACTGTTAGCTCCAAGATGACGGCAATTATTTTGTTTCTTCGAGATCATGGGCAGAGTCTGCAGTCAGGAGATGTCTGTTGAATGCTCTATTCTTGGCTGAAGAGCCAGTGGGAATAGCAATTGTCTAAAAGAGTATGTTTACAGGATTCTAATCTGTGTAGAAAGTGCCACAAAGAAAGGAAAAGGAGGAGAGAGCAATGGGAGTCTAAAGCCAACTTAGGACCCTGATGTGAAAACATTCCCCTAACACAGCTTTAGTTACTCTAAGAGCACAGCCTAGAAATGCTCTCTCTAGGGATGCTTTTTAGCCGGTAGTCAAGTGGCCATGAGGAGCTACTCAATACCAAACCAGACTGCATTTGGATCCTTTCTCAGCCCGAGGAAGAGCCAGGCAGGAACAACTCATGAGCTAGAGGCATGTACCCAGAGCTCCCACCTTGTACCCTGAGAGGCTGTGGGGGCGTGATGCTGCCTGAACCTTACAGCTGACAGAGCAGGAAACAAAGGAACATCCCTGAACCAGAGGGAAATGTTCTCTCCTGCTGGGCTAGCTGTACCCATTTGGAAAACAAATGAGTGCTCTGTGCACATGAGGTAACAGACTCTCCCTTGCCAGGATGGGGAAGTGCTCCCCAGGTCTGCGCTACTCAGCTTAACCTTGGGGGGAGACGTTCTAAAATGAGCCCAACATCTCTTCCAAGTCATTCCTACTCTTTTCTTAATAAATGCTTTTTATCTGAGCCTTGAACAACAATCAGAAGTTGACAGATCTGTGCAACAACAGAGAAGCCCCATGGGCTCCTCTCATAGAAGCAGTAAAAAGAGCCTCATAGGATAAGTCAAATAACAGCACTTTTTTAGTCAGTCCAATCCCAAGACCAAATTCCATGGCCCTGAATATGTGTGTTATATAAGTTCAGAGATAACAGACAGCAAAAGTTGGGTAGGTCTTCTCTGAGGAGGCGACATGACAGTGTTTTCTGGAGTAAAATTGCTGCAGAAGCAAGCCATGTGACATAGGGCTTTCTCCTTTTGCTAAGTTGGAGTCAGGTCATGGTGTGCCTGGAGTGGCTGCCAGTGGAGTTTACTAGACAGGGGGCATACACAGTTACAGATACATCGTCAGCACACAGACTCACCTTCCTTTTTCCAGCCTCATCTGTATCTGATGCCTCAGGAAAACAATACCTCACTCATATACCACACTTAATTTGTCTCAGGCGGTATTCCTAGTGCTTTGCACATAATAACTTAATGATTGCTCATAACAGCCCTGTGACTTATGCACTATTTTTATTTCCATTTTTACAAGTTAAAGTGCTATCAAGTTGGCAGACACCCTGATAGGGAATGTTTTATCTTCTAATAGGCAAATGTCTTTCAGAGCCCGGAATCTACAAAAAAAGCTAAGTCTCATTTTCATCTCTGTTGAAATCCAGATAGTCTCTAAAGTTTAAGAGAATAAATGGCATTTAACTCATTAGTCTGCAAACAACACCACTGTATATTCTATTCACCAGCTTAAAGTACAGAAGTCAGAGCAGAGGTGGGGGCTCAGGGCATAAATTTACCATCTGTGATGAAATGTAATCAGATCCGAGGAGTTTCCACTTTGAAGTCTTCCTGAATCTGTGTGGGTTACAGGTCTGAACATATCACCAGCTTTGACAGGTGGCTTTATTTTTCATTTCAAAGGGGGAGAAAGAAAGGCAAGAAAACCAAGGGAACACATGCACAGCAGAGCTTTGAATGTTGCCCTCTCCCTGCACCACCCGCCGACAATGCTCACAGAGGCACTTTTCCCCATTCAGGTCACAAGGTCAGAGGAGCAAAAGCAGTTGCACTTGAATCTGTCCAGGGTTTTGTCCTCCCAGGCATAGTACTGTGAAAGCAGCCTTTCTCCAGCTCAGGGTGCCCACCTTTCTCCTCAGCTCCTAGAGTGAGCACAAACTAGCCCCACATTTTGGCCAGTGCCCCTGGGGTCAGGCACCAACCAGATGGTGTCGACAAATAGAAGGGACTCACCTAGAGGAGTGGCTCTTGTCATCTCAGAGTGGGATGACCATGTTTTTAAAGGTTGACAGGCAGCTGCCCTTCAGAATCACTGAGTCCATGGACTGCTGGTTACAACACTGAGCCTATCTAACCAACACCCTCACATCCTAAGCAAGACAGCACAGAGAGGGCTGAGCACTGCCAATGGCTCCCTCTGGGTAGGTGACTATAAGACTTAAATCCTGCCTACTTCTGAAAGGATTATCTGCTATTTATGCATGACAATGGAGCAAAGCCGAGCCCTGAGTGTTGCCAGGGCAAATTCAGGCAAGCACAAGCTTGTCCTAGCCTGCCTAGTGCCTCCTGCCTGAAGACCTGAGGAAGTCCCTGGAAAGGCTGACAATCACCACATCCCGTAGCACAAAGACGCCCACCCAGTGGAGACAAGGGACACCCTTTACAAGGCAGTCCACTGGGTTGGGGAAGAAGTTTCTTCAGGGGAAATGGGTCTGGTACATGAGATCAGATCCGTCACCTGGCTTTGCAGAGAAGGGTAACTACCTGTATCCAGGAGAGGTGACACTCAGCTTATCTTCCAACCCAATGCACTTGCTCAGGGCCAGTGCCAGAGCCCTCAGGACAGAAGCTTAGAGGGTAAGTCTCTGAAATCCTGTAAGGCTAGAGATCCTGTATGACACTGAGGCCACAAAGCAGCATAACTCCTGAGCTGAGTGCTACAGGGACAGGATTTGGCTTCTTTAATACATGATGTTTATTAGACATTTTTTCTGACTACAAACGTAATACATGCTCATTACAGAAAGATTAGAGACAGTGGGAAATCACAAAGGGGAAAACAAAAGTCACCTGGAGTCTTACCACTCCGGGCAAGTGAATATTACATTTGCCCAAGTCCATTTTTTAAGCTGTGAATATATTTTTTAAGAAATAAAAATAAATACTGTTTTGTAGCCTGCCTTTTTCCTTAGCAATATCACAAGAAAACTTTCCTCCGTCTGTACGTACTCTTCCACATACGGGCTTAGTGTCTGCTTAACGTCCCACTGTGTATATGTGTATGTATTTGTGCAAACTTCTTGTTGATCACTGGCTTCATTTCATCTTTCTTGATACTATAAATGTTCACTGAAGTGACCATGGGTATGTTTCACTTTGTGTACACCTCTCAATCTATCCTTAGGATAATTTTTTAAAATACAGCTATATGAACAAAGGGTTGGCATTTCCTATTTTCAAGAATTTTATTACATATTTAAGCTTTGAAATAACTAGAAAAGTCCTTTCCAGATTGCTCAGTTGGTGCCCTTGGCTTCATAAAGATTGAAGGTGACTCTGTCTTCCGAGTTCTGGCAGCCTTCAGGTTGCTTTTAGAATCCAGTTCCTGCCCCCAAGTGAAGTTTGATTAATGTGCGATGTCATCACTCAGGGCAAACCTGTATCCCATGATTGATCTTCGCAAATGCCCCTCTGCACTTGGTAGTATTGCAAAGTGTTTCAGGGCATGGATTTGGGGGTCAGCTAGGCCTGGGTTTGGGTCTCTGCTTCTCATTATTTTGTGACACTGGGCAAATTACTTAATCTCTTTCATTTTCCACTGTTATTATTATTGCTAACTACTCACTCACCAGCCATCTTCACCCCTGCCCTGGATTGATAGTTTACAATGACATTCTTATTTTAGACTTGAGATAAGAGGTATGAGAAAAATTGATAATTTTCTGGGTAGCAAGTAATGAAACAGCAAGTAGGACTCAAGGCCAGGTGTGGTGGCTCACACCTGCAATCCCAGCATTTTGGGAGGCCGAGGCGGGTAGATCACTTGAGGCCAGAAATTCGAGACCAGCCTGGCCAACATGGTGAAACTCTGTCACTACTCAAAACACAAAAATTAGTCAGGCATGGTGGCAAGCACCTGTAATCCCAGCTACTTGAGAGGCTGAGGCAGGAGAATTGCTCAAAGCCGGGAGATGGAGGTTGGAGTGAGCTGAGGTCATGCCACTGCACTCCAGCCTGGGCAACAGAGTGAGACTGTCTCAAAAAAAAAAAAAAAAAAAAAAAGTCAAGAGTCAAGGGAAAAATCATCATTATCTTAGAAATCAACTAGCCCCAATCTCCTACGCTGTTTTGCAAATAGGAAAAGCAAGGGAGGAAAACTGGATTTTGGCACTGTTTCCAAGTTTCCATTAGAAGTTCTTGAACTCCAGCTTTTTTCTGACTGCCTCCCTACAGTATTATACAGCTCTCAGAAGCAATGAGAGCAGCAGAAAGTACATCACATTTCCCACACAGCTTATAGCATGAAAAGATGTAAGGTATTTGACTTGCAAAGGTCTTACGGGAAATAGTGGGAGAGAGTGAATCTCACCCCTGGGCAAGAGAGAGGCAGCTGAGCTCTGCCATTGGTACAACTGGTATTTTGTGGACCCTGCCTTCAAAGTAAGACAGGGGTTGGGTAAGGATATTGGGGTCACAGTAACAAAATGGGGGATATAAGCTAGAGAGTTACTCTTGAGTATCTATTGCTTCAGCTTCACCAGTCACTATAGGCTTGTGTGTCCTGGGAATCACCATTGAAAATGAAAATCAGTTAAACCTGTGGTTCTTGGACTTTGTGAACAATCACAAATCCTTCCAAGGAAATGTTGATATCTATGTCCTCTCTTCCCAGAAATTGTTGCAAATATATGGGGGCTTCATGAAAACCCATCCTATGATCCCAAGATAAAAACGCAATGTAAAGTAAGAATGACAATGGAATTAGGCACTGAGACAGGTTTAGCACAACAGCTGGGCTCTGATTTAAGTTTTAAGCACTCTGAACAACAAAAAAGGGAAAGTACATTGGTTTAATACCTATAAATCCAAAACATTTAAATCCATCTTTGGAGACACATTTATTTCTAAACTTAAATTCAAGGGAAAAAAATTATCACATATATTTTAATAGCACACAATCCAAAGTCTTCAACTTTGATCCTCTTTGTGCATTGAAATGCACCCTATGAAATAAAGAACATCCCTCTAATGACCTAATTAACTAGCATTCAAGGATAAGTAAAGATTCCTAGTGTCCAAGATCCCTTCTCCCTGGTAAAAGAGAATCCTGTAACTCATCATCAAGAATCCCTTTCCTAGGACATCAAGGCTAGGACCTGATTCAACACCCAGCACACTCACCCATTCATTCATTCATTCATTCATTCATTCATTCACAATGTTTTTCTCTAAGGGCCTTCTCTATGCCAGAAGTTGGATTAGGCATCTGCAACAGGAATTGATAGACAACAGATGAGTGAATAAGATATGGTCAGAAAGAGGCAAATTGGTGAGATGTGATCATGTTTACCTGTGAATCCTCATACGACTAGCAGCAAGTCTACGTTATAGAAGTGAGTTTCCGCGTACTGTGCGGAACTCTTGGCTTCATACCAGCCAGAAGCTCCTTAAAGGTCTGGCCATCGTGTCTATGATACCTGAAGTCCTGATGGTGTCACTGGGTGCTCAGTAAATACTTGCTTAGAGAAGGCTTCTCATCCTTTCTTGAATAGTCAGGTCTTTCCCTAAGCCTATGGATGTTCTGTTTGACCTCTTCCAGGGCTGGAATGGGCCTTGCTTAGTTCCAAGCCTGTTCCTTCTAGTGGGGCTGAGACAATGCTTCTCTTCCATTCCTGATTCTCAGTACTCCATGTGGCCTCCCTGTCACTAGGCACCAGCCAAGTCCTGCAGCAAGGGACCCAGACCAGCGCTGCTCATGCCTCTGACTTCTGCTCATGGTTTCTCAAAAGTAAGAGAATGTTACCAAAGCTTATCTTTCCTTTTCACTTTTAGCTTCACAGAAGAGTTACAAAGGTCATTCTTCCTCTCACTGGATGAAGCAGAGAGTGGGCCTGTGGCAATCAGGAGTCAGGTCATGACAATGACAGACTCTTCATGTTTTTTAAAATAAATATTGAAATTCCTTGTAGTCCCAGCTAGCTACTCAGGAGGCTGAGACATGAGGATTGCTTAAGCCCAGGAGTTAAAGTCCAGCCTGGGCAACATAGCAAGACATTGTCTAAAAATTTTTTTTCAAATGAAATTCCCATTTTAAAATAATATTTAAGGTAAATATTGAAATTATTAAATTAATAAGAATATTAAAACCTGATTTCATTAATGTAGTTTCCAGTTCTTTTTTTTTTTTTTTCTTTTGAGAATTTCACTCTTGTTGCCCAGGCTGGAGTGCAATGGTGTGATCTCGGCTCACTGCAACCTCTGCCTCCCGGATTCAAGCGATTCTCCTGCCTTGCCCTCCTGAATAGCTGGGATTACAGGCATGCACCACCACACCTGGCTAATTTTGTATTTTTACTAGAGATGGGGTTTCACCATGTTGATCAGGCTGGTCTCGAACTCCTGACCTGAAGTGATCTGCCCGCCTCAGCTTCCCAAAGTGCTGGGATTACAGTCATGAGGCACCACACCCGACCTCCTGTTCCTATTTTTAAGAAAAAGTTCCAATCTCTAGTTTCAGGTATTATACACCACAACTGTCATTCTGGATAAACTTTGAAAAAGCAGAACAATATTTAGCATAATTCTTCCTAAAATCAAGCCTGCAGGGAAAATATCCTTATAATTTAGAATTCTGTAATATGCTTTCAGCTATGGAAAATGTAAAAAGCAAAGTCAAGAGACATTCTAGTCTGCACCAGGACCTGGTTCGTTACAGTTCCATGTAACAATAATAGTTCACATTTGTGGAGTGCTCTCTAAATATCAAGCGATATGGTGAGAGTGTTACACACATCATCTCATTTAATCCTCAATAACAACCCTACAACTGAGTTATTATTATTCTCTTTTCACACATGAGGAAAGTGAATTTTAGAGGTTGGTTTAAACATTTGTAAATGACAGAGGTGGGATTAACATCCAAGTCTCTCTGACTCTATAGCTCAAAATCTTACTATACTTAACTACTGTGTTATATTTAACTTTTGCCTCTTATAAGGTGAAGGACCAGATTCTTCCATTTCTGTCTTCCACTTTCCCATGTAATCTGCTACATTCACTGCAAAGGATGTTTTGGTTATGGTTATTATCAATGTCATGATTAAGGAAAATTATTACTATTGATAAAACCAATGTATATATGTATTGTTTATAGTTTGTAATGTACTTGCATAAACATTATATTACTAAATTTTCCACAACTCTATGATATGGGTATTGTCCCAGTTTTACAGACAGAAAACTGAGACTCAGAGCATTTAAATGACTGGTACAGAAAGTGTCAACCTGCCATATCCAGGCAGACCCTGTACTCACAGTACCTTGATAGTGAGAGCCTCCTTAAATTTTGTGTACAAAATACCTCCCACTTGCCTTACCCTAGGCCTGCCCTGAGGCAGAACCAAAGCTAAGTTCTCTTGTTTATGCAGGTTACATTGGTTTCTATTCAACTTATAAGATATTAATGGTCCTAATCCACTGGAAAAGATTGATTCTGTAAGTCAACAATGAGTGAGGAAGCCCAAATACAAATGCAGCCAGAACGCCAAGATGGTTGACAAGATGAAGCTTCTCCTTGGGCCCATAGACTGGGAGGATATTGGAGACAGTGATTGTGAATCATTTATCTCTGTACTTCCAGCCTAGGCCTTGGACCTGACACTCAGAGGATGCCTGATACTTTTTGAATAATGAATGAGTAAATCAATGAATCCAACAAACAGTGCTTGAGTTTGGAGTTATTCAGTATCTTCTTCCCCTGATGCTTCCTCTTTCGACTTGTTCTCAGTGCTTGGAGAAGGGGGAAGGAAGAGCAGGAAGCCTTGCCAAGCCCCTTGCCAGGGAGGACACAAGCGAAAGAAACTTCAGCAAAAGCTCCCACTCCCAACCTCTCTGGTTGTCATGTCCCTTTGGCCCTTGCTGACTCAGTTCCCTAACCTTCAGATGCCTCCCCTCTGTCCTCTTGGAGGTGGCTGAGGAGAAGTTCTTGCACTCACAGGAGAAGGCCATTCATTCACCTTGACTTTCCTTTCTCAGAGTATTCTCTGGGAAAACTGAGCCCTTTTCATCTGCAATGTAGGAGCTGCCACCCTTTGGAGAATGTCAAGATCCAATTTTACATAAAGGGTTTCTTTTATTTCTTATTTCTATTTAAGGGAGAAAGAGAAGCAAGATTGATCCCAGTTTCTAACACAGATTGAAAATGGAGTTTTGCCAATTTTCTGTGTTTTACACTGCCATGCTCTGCTGGCCAAGGTAGGAGAGAAACAAGCAGCCTGTGTTCCTAGAGCATTTTTCTGAGAGCAGAAAGATGTCAGTTATTTGGATAATTGAGTGTCTGGCTGAAAATTTACCTGTGCCACATCTTTGAATAAAAAGGGTTTTGATTTAAAAATATCAGCAAAACAAACAGGATAACAAAGTAGAAATTTCTTTCTGATTTAATGAAATAACTATTTTTATGAATTATATAAGTAATGTTAATTATGATCCAATTCAATCTGCTTATTTAAACATATTTCATAAAACCCTCTATTAATCAGGAAGCATTTATTAGTCTAGTTTGGGTATACAACTGGCTTTCTTGGCTTTTGTTATCTTTGACAATTCAGATTTGTTACCAGAGATTGTCCACATCAGTGAAGTTTCATGAGCATTTTACCAGGGAAAATGTCTCCTGGAAAGATCCTGACACAGAGTAATTTGTCAGGACCTGCCCTGGCTTGAGAAAGGTGAAGAAGCTGCCTCACTGCTCTGAAAGTACAGGGTAGGTACACTGTGAGCTGTGGAAGGGAATGGAATGTATATGGAAAAGTCTTTTGACAGAGTTCCAAAACAGATGAATCTCCACTTGGTTTTGCAATCTTCAGTAGCATTGAGATCTTTCAGCATGCTGCTTCACGTGATAAAATTTTTAAAAGAGGTGAAGAAATTGGCCTGTGATGCAATAATTCCATCCGTGCCCCAAATATCTTGTAAACAAGGAGAGATTTTGAGTGTAGAGTGACTCTTTTCTTTCAGGAGCTTCCAGGGTAGGGTGGTGCTGAAGGAAAATGTTGACAAAGAACAGGAGTCTGATGAGGGCACTCTTCCTTCCTGCCCAGGGAGTCCTGCCAGCCATTCGTGGGCACCCTGACTCCCCTCACTAAACAAGTCTGGACTCAGAGCTGAGAAGGTATCCAGATGCTCCCTGGCCACAGCATTACTATTGGCTGTAAGTTTAAATTATCTGTCTATTAAGACACCCCTATTCATGGATGAGGGCAACAGAAAGCTAGCAAAACTGGGAAGGTGAGAGAACTCAGGTTTTCTGACACTCAGCTGAAGGAATTTACGTAATTCCCCTCTGCTTTTCATGGCCTGGCCCCAGGTGTTTGTGAAGAAAACATCAGCATATACCACCAATATCAATCATGCATTTTTATGCATCATAAGTAGGAGCTACACCATGATTTACCAAATAACTAGCCTATGAATGCCTTGTGGAGTCTCCTCTTCTCTCATCTCTCTCACTTTCTCCCTCTTCTCTTGTGGCTACCCACATACATACACACACATACACACACACACACACACACACACACACACACACACACACACGTACGTATTATCTGAGCTCCTCTTCAAAATCATCCAGGACCATGCCCACTAAAGTGGTCTCTCCACCCAATGAATTATCAAGCAATCCATATTCTAGAATAATATTTGAGGAGGCTGAGGGGCAGTGTGTGCATGCTTCCTGGCCTTATTCAATCAAGCATTCTGCTCTTGGTTTACTGTTTAATCCACCTTGAGCCTTTAGGTTTCATAAATGAAGTTCGTGAATAATTGCTCGGATAAGAATGGAAGATACGAGGGCTAGTAAGCCTCCTAATTTGTAAGATTGTGTATGCAAACAAAAAGTACCATTCTGGCTTAATGTGGTGTGGAGTATTATTCTCTCCACCAGAGATGTCTTGTTACTCCCAAAAGAATTGGAAGCTCTTAATCGAACACCTCACTACCTTTCTCAATGCCTTGCACTTAGTTGGCATGTGCTTAGTTAAGATATTCTGGTTGATGGGATCATTTCAGTGTACAAATAAGCACACAGCAGTTATGCTTCCCTCTCATCGCCACTTACATCCTCCATCCCACAGCCTTTCAGGAGTCCTGGGTAGTCCCAGGTCAGCCCAGCTAATGGGGGGATTAGGGATAAACCCCATTCTCTCTGTTTCCTCAGCTGCAAACAAATGGGGTTGGGCTTCCAGCCTCTAAGAGTCTTTTCTAGTTTAACCCTATGGGTTTATGCAGCTCTGGACTTTTCAAAGATCATTCAGTGAGTTCCTCAGACAGCAGTCTCATAATTTCATTTTCAAATTTTGAATGAGGATTTAAGATCAAGCTTTTGGAGTCTCATTAGTCCTTATGGTCTCTTGTTACCACCTTGATTATCCAAGCTCTTTTCTGCCACTGAGAAAATGTAAACTCCTGTTCTAGGAGTTATGCTGTGATCTACTAAGAGCTGCTCCCCCTGATCCTTCCTGCCCTGCAACGCTTTCCAGTGATCCACACTGAACTTCCTTCTCCTGGGCCCTGAGATGACGGCCTCATCCCACTCAAGCCCTCAGCCCCTTTCTCTTCTCCTGACCTGCCCTAGGATTGCCCTTATCAGCCCCAAACACCCCAGGCACTGGCTGAGTGGCAAAGACACCTCACTGCCTCCTACACAGCCTTGATGCCCAAGCCCCACAAGACACCACTGGTTCATTTGAAAGTTTTGTTGTTACTGTTTGGTTTTGTTTGTTTGATTGTTATTCATAGGCCACCTTTCCTTCCCTCTTCATACACACCACCTACCTGACCCTTTCTTCCCCAACATGGCCCTTGGGCTCACCCAGATGTTTTTCTGGCTGACAGCTGGAAAGCCAACTGGAGTGTCAGCTAGAACCTGTCAACCCAGCCAAGGAGCCTTATGTTTTCCAAAGGGGAGGAGCCCCTTCCCAGACACACTGCCCTCTTCCCTGCCCCAGGCCATGGGAACACTCCATGGGACCTCAGAGCCATCTGGTCATCTCTTCCAGGACATCACAGTGACAGGCCCCTGCTTCAAAAATATATCTGGGTCACTTTGCACACCCCACACATTCAGGGACCGGCATGTAGTTGTGACCAGTAAGTTATAATGACTCAATGAGTAGCCATTTGGGCCACGCTCCTGCCTCCACACACAAATTCCTCCAACTTCTCATTTTCTCTGTCTTATAAGCCCTCAGCTTCAAACTCTTTCTCTGCATGCCATGACTGGTTTTTCATCCTCCCCCATCTGTCCCCATTCTGCTCTCACTACCTACTGTAATAATATTTGTGAACTACAAGTTACCCCTCTAGGATTTGAGCTAAGCAGTGCTGATTCTTTTGCCTTTCTTCACAAAACTTGCCTTTTTACTATTATCTTCCTTCTACTTGGACTCTCTCCAAATGGTCCACCTCCCTTCTGAGTTGTAAAGCTGAGAAAGAGGTTTGGTTTGTAAGGCCAAACCATTAGGTTTTATCTACTCAGATGGGAGCCTCTGAGAGTTCAGCTTCTTGCTCTCAGAAGAGAGCATAAGCTTCAATTAGCCAGAATGACAAAATTACCCTGAGAGCAGCCACTTCTTCTTGGCGCTGGACCTGGTTGCCTTGAGGTGTGAACACTGCTTGCCATTTTACCAAGCCTGTTTTCGGGGGTCTTGTCACAGTGAAATCTGTAACTTTACAGTCAAGGTGGGAATTAAGGGGTGAGGGCACGATGATCCAGGATACTAGTGTGGTCTCTGCACTTCCACTGAGAGGCTTAGCATCCTCCTCTGTTTACCAAGGCCTTTAAGAAATTATTATTATTAAACACCTAGGATTGTAGGGTTCATGAGTTGCATGATAGGAAGGCTTAAGCTCCAGTTGTCTGAGTTGCTTTTGGAAGAGGATCAAACCCATGCTGAAGCCCCTTCCCGCCTGACTCACAAGGCCATTGTTATTGTATTTAGCTTTGGATAAACTTTCCTATGGAAGGTGACTGCTCACAGCAGTTCATTTGAAATGTGCAGGCTTAGATCTGACTTCATGTGTGAGCGCAGGCCTGTCATCATGCATTCCAGGTCACTCTCCGAAATGAATTTGTCTTTCCTCAATGTTTCTCAGAGCCGGGGAGCAGACATTCCTCCGGCTCTGCATTAATCCAATTACTAAACACCTGCAGACATGCAATAACAGTTTGGGTGCCAAAAGCCTTAGAAATGGTTTTATAGCAGAATGTAATCTGCTGTCCTGCTATCAGGAGTCACATTACACACCTGCCAAGATCCAAGCCAAAAAAATAACACTCATGGTTCTCACTCCAGGCAGGAATGTTCGGTACACATTAGAAAGACAACGTGACAGGCATTTGAGTTTGACAGCCACGGACCCCATTAAACATTTTGAACTTCTTAGTAATTGTATTCAAAGTCATTTCAGTACTAAAACGTTTTAAAGAAAAGTATGACGAAACAGTATTTTTCTTCCAAGGATGGTTAAGGCAACATCCCCTCTCAAAAACTAATTTAGTGAGCACGATGGCTCATGCTTGTCTCCTGTGCTTCAGATTATGTCAGAGGTGGCTTCTTACCAGAGAAGCTACAGGATGGCCCATGGCCACAAGGACACCTGAACCTGGAAAATAACCTCATCCCACCAACTTACACAACCTCACTGCAAAGCCACTAAATTGTTTAGGTATGCACAAACTGATGACACTTGGTTTTCCTAAGGATCCTAAAATCAGGGGGGCTTGGAGAGCCACGCTGATACTTTACTCCAAACACAGCCACCTCCAAAGAAGCGAGAGAGGACTCTGGAGAGCTCTTTTTTAGAGAGTCTGTCAGAACAATCAGAAACATGTCTTGACTGAGAATGATTAATCCTTTTTTCCTGAACTGATTTTGAAGAAATTCTATCACTGCTTATATAGTAAGGAATTCCTTAGTTCCATGTTTTTCACAGGAAACAAATTTCTCTATAACCAGATCTGCCATGTTATTTAATTTCCACCAACCTGAGTTCCCAAAGGTTGGGGACAGTGTCTACTCATTTCTACACAGCTATGACCTTGTAGAGGCTTTGCCTAGAATATAGGGGGCCCTCGGGAGATGTTAGCTGAATGGATTCCTGGGTAAAAGGACATTTCCCTCGTTGTACCCCACAGGGCTGAGCACAGGCCAAGGCAATGTAAAGACGTCCTTTCCCTCCTCCTGGTCACTTAGTCTGCATAAAGAAACCACTGGAGACACCCAGGACCAGGAAATAAGAGTAGTAATGTCCTGGCGAACAAGGTGAAAAGGGCATTACCTTTTTTTTTTTTTTTTTTTTTTTTTTTTTAAGATAGGGTCTCTCTCTGTCAGCCAAGTTGGAGTGCAGTGGTGCAATTTCCAATCTCAGCTTACTACAACCACCACCTCCCAGGTTCAAGCGATTCTCCTGCCTCAGCCTCCCAAGTAGCTGGGACTACAGGCATACTACCACCATGCCTGGCTAATTTTTGTATTTTTAATAGAGATGGGTTTTCACCATGTTGGCCAGGCTGGTCTGGAACTTCTAGCCTCAAGTGATCTGCCTGCCTCAGCCTCCCAAAGTGCTGGGATTATTGCCATGAGCCACCGCGCCTGGCATGGCATCACCCTTTCCACTGACTGCTTTGAGTTAACCACCCTCACATCTGAGCAAACCCCACTTTGAACCACGATTCCCCTCCTCCCTCTGACTGCCTGCTACTTTCAACATCAGAGCACGGGAGTCTGTACTCCGCTTTTGGCACTTCAGCAGCAATAAAATATGACAGGTGATTGATTGTTGCATGTGTGCCAGCCTTGTCTTCCTAACTAGGGCTTTCACTCTCTGAGGGCAGGGAGCAGGGTTATGTTTCTCACCTCTCATAGGTTTCACCCCACATAGCACCAAAGGTCCAGGCACTCCACAAATACAGAGAGCCCCTGAGTTCTCTCTCCTTGGATTTCGTTTCTAAAAAATATACACATCCGAGCAGCCTCATCCAACTCGGTTTTCAGCTATACACTAAGTCTTCGCTAGTCAAAGTGTGGTCCTCGGACCAGCCACATTGGCATCCACCTAGGAGCTTATTAAAAATGCACAATCTTAAGCCCTATACTAAACCCAATGAATCAGTACCTACATTTAAGCAAGATCCCCAAGAGATTCAAATACATAGTAAATGTTGGGGGGCCTAGTTAAGCTACAGCCTGCCCCTCTCAGAATGGCACCCTTGGAGAGCTCAAAGAATATGCTCTCAGGCAGAGAAACTCTCACAGAAAAGTCTGCTCCTGGATCAAAGAGCCATAGAACTCAATCCAGCCACCCAGGATGGAGGAAGACACTGATGATTCAAGAGGTCCATAAGCCTGAGAGAAGGATTCACAGTGTCCAGAGAGAGAGCCACAGCCAGAGGCGAGGTTTTTGGAACCTGGCTCCAGAGGAGCATTGGGGGATGGAGAGGCTGGGTCTGCCAGCCCCTCCCACGCAGCCCAGCGTTCTTAGCCCACATGTAACCTTCAGCCCCTGCCCAGAGCAGTCAGTATGACAGTAATAATAGTCGTCACAAGAAAATGCAACCTCGATCATGCTAACAACTTTTGAAAAGTAAAATGCTGGGGATATGATTTCAATTAAAACTCATATTGTCTGACTTGTCTCTCTGCATAGCAAAAGTTCACCTCCTCTCACCCTTGTACCGCCTCTTCTCCAAACTAAGGCAGACAGGAGGGGCTGTGTCAAGGCCTCCCCCAACCTTGAGGGGCAGGGGTCTCTGTGCCCAGCATCACTTCCCATTCCCGAGTCTACTTGGCCTCCATAGCAAAAAATGGCCTTCATGCTAATCTTACCCCAAAGAAATCTCAGGATAAAGAGAAGACTACAGGCAGAGTCTGAGTCTGTTCTCTCTTTCTTTCACTCTCTCTCAAGGTTTATGAATAAACAATTATGAACTTAAAAGGAAACTGCTCTTGTACAAATGGAAAGAGCCTAAATTCCTAGCCAGGGCCTGTGGCCATGCAGACAACCCCACAGATTTGCTTCATTTGTGCTGAAGGTGGCTTTTCCTTTTTCTTTTTCTTTTTTATTATACTTTAAGTTTTAGGGTACATGTGCACAACATGTAGGTTTGTTACATATGTATACATGTGCCATGTTGGTGTGCTGCACCCATTAACTCATCATTTAACATTAAGTATATCTCCTAATGCTATCCCTTCGCCCCTCCCCCGACCCCACAACAGGCCCCAGTGTGTGATGTTCCCCCTTCCTGTGTCCACGTGTTCTCATTGTTCAATTCCCACCTATGAGTGATGGCTTTTTCTAAATCAATCCTGATCTCTTAGCAGGTGAGTGCCAGACAGCCAGGTTGGGATGGGAAAACACAGGCCTAATCAGGATCCTGGTGCACACTTTTCCCAAGGAAATGAAATTTCTGTGATCCTAGAGATCTCTAATGTCCATCTCAACAAGATGCTAAGCAGAATACAATAAACAAGTTTAACAACAAAACCATTTTGTTACATATAAACCATCAAACTTGCATGCTTTCTAAGAAATTTATGAACGAATCCAACAGATGTTCATTGAGATTTAGTCTCCTTTCTAAATCTTCCTCCCATCTTTTCTTACCAAAATAATGCCTATTCATTTTTTTAATTAGCTCAAACATTACCTATACAAAACTTTTCTAAGTCCTCCCCAATTTTGCACATGCTCTCCCATTCTCCTGGAGGCAAGTGTCCCCATTTGATGGAGGTTTTCGGGAGAAACAAAGTTAGCAATTGTTGCTTGGATGGCATCTGTTACTGTGAGGGGAACTGACTAGAACTTGAAATTCAAATTAAGAATTATCAGTTGTAATGTCATATATATGTTCCCAATATACCTCACATTTTGTAAAAGCTCACATCAAAAGCAGCAGGGATTTGGAGAAATAAGGTCAAGGGCAGACCACTCAAAAAATGAAATTTCAACCAGGGCACGAAAAAAAATAATAACAATCAAAAATACAATAACAGAGGAGGTAAATCGCCACTGGTACTTGCAGCTAGGATCACAATTACTCCATCCTTTGCATCTCTGATTTATGTATTTTCATATTTAACTTAGTTTAATTTCTTAAATTTATTCCTTTGAGGCATAGGTCCTGAAGAGCATTTACATTTAATAGAGATCAGTTCAATCAAAATGAACTCCATGATTCAAGTTTTAAACCCCCTTTATCAGTTAATTTTTAACACTAAGGAAAGTGTATTCACAGCTTCCTCATTTGCAGTTATAGCTTCCCTAAATAGCTTAAAATAGAAGAAAGTACAATGTTATTATAGCTACCATATCATTCCATATTTGCCCCAAAATAAAGCATTATACAGGATTTCTAGCTTTTTTCTTAAGGTTTTCATATATTGCAAAGTGTTTCTCTTTAACTGATAACAAGCTTCAAGCTTGCTCCACCTTGTTTTGTTTCTCATTGCTGTTTTATTTTTTTTATGAGGGGTTGGTACTCAATAGGTATGTTTTACTTTTATTTTGTGTTAATATCTTATATACTGAAGGTGTACAATATTATATTTTGATAGACATATACATTGTGAAATGATTACTTCAGTCCAGCATATTAACACCAAAATGTTGAGTTAAAAATTACCATTATATTGACACAATTTTTCATATGGAAATAAACCCACATTGTGGTAGAAAAGACTGTGTAGATGTTTGCAACTAATGGAATCTGAATGTTTCAAACATCAATAGTGGGGTAGACAGAATAATGTCTCCCTCCCCAAAGATATCCACACCCTAATCCCCAAAATCTGTGACTCTGCTGCCTTAAACAGCCAAAGGGATTTTGAAGATATGATTAAGTTAGGAATCATAAAATTGGGTATTTAGGTGGGCCCAATGTAATCACAAGGGTCTTCACAAGAGGGAGACAGGAGGAGTGCTGGAGTTTTAGAAGAAGCTACTGGAGTGACGTGGGGATGCAAAACAAGGAATATGGATACCCTCTAGAAGCTGGAAAAGGCAGAGAAATGGATCTTGCTCCATGGCCTCCAGAGAAGCATAGCCCTGCTGATCCATTTTAGACTTCTGACCTCCAGAACTGTCAGAGAATAAATGTGTGCAGTTTTAAGCCACTAAGTTAGTGGTAATTTGTTACAGCAGCCATGGGAAACTAATCCAAAGAGTAAAATCACCAGTATGAGGTCAGCACCAGTCATTATTACTTCATCTATCACATTTACCATCACCACCTTCCCAATTTTTCAACTGGGAAAACATTATGTAACTTTTTAGTGTGGGCGTACACCTGAAGAGCTGGGCAGGTATTGTCTCACAGCAGATGCTCACGTACTCAAAGATTCAGAGAATCAAGTGATAAATAGTAACTACAGGGCCTTTGTTAAATATTTAACACAAACTGAATAAATCCTTATACTTTCATGTTTTTAATAATGCTCCAACTTAAATAATTACTCAAAGTACTGTACAGAGAAATATTTATACCAAAGAAGTCTATCTAGCTATTGACTTCAAGGTCTTTAGAATCAATTATTATATAATTGGTGTAATGGCCTGAACTAAGTTTTATCCAAAATAGGAGAACTACTTGTTATACTTCCAAAACTGTGCATTGCTACCACCCAAGAACACTGAAAAGTAGGCATAAGATAGGGATTCCCTGCTACTTCAGACTGGACAAATAGGAAGACCCCAACCCTGAGCCACCACCCAGTAGCAGTGCACCAGCCTCACACCTCCTTACTCCAAGCTAAGTCCATGCTGATAGACACCTTTACTTTTCTGGACTAGAAGCAAGCAGCTTGTAAAAGTATGTAAAACACAATACATATCACAAAATACCATTCTCAAACCAACTCCCTCAACTTTCTACTAAACCACGTCTCAATGAAAAAAGAAAAAAGAGAAACAGCCAGACTCTAGCACCTCCTCCGGGAGTCTCAGAAGGCTGCTGTGACTGAGCTCAGGGTTCACGGCAGCGACTGTCCATGTTGCACAAGCCTGTTTTAGCACGATATTGCCTCCTCATCTCACCACCACTTTTTGCAGTTAAAGTATCATGGTCATATTTTTGACTTCGGGTATAAGACTGAGAAGCCTCAATGCTTCACTTTTCTGGTGCTTACTCAACACATTTCTAGATTAAAAACAGTATTAGTGAAGTGGTGTTATCAATAGTCACTCAACAAACATAAAAACATAAGCCCTGGGGGGTTTATGAAAAGTCCACATGGAAACATGAACTGGATTTAGCTAATGGATCTGAGTCATGGGCTGGCAGAGCTCCTCCAACTACATGTCTCTTTTCCATCTCACTCCTGTCTTTCACCATCACTACTACCCTCTCACTCCCTAATATTTTCAGATTAGTCTGAGAGGGAATTTCAATTCTTTCCTCAAAGTAGGAAAAGTGAGCTTTTTTTCTGCTGGTACTCAGGAGAGTCAACTATGCTACGAATACGCCGAGTCACTCAGTGTTATGGGGGTTCAACTGCATCTCTCTTCAAAACAGAGTGCAGTAGATTGTCAATGAAGAGGGTGTCAAGCATCCCTCCCATTCCTGCAAGTTCAAACCATTTCTCCCACCAAGAGATGAAGGCTACTTGCCCTTCCCTAAAAGATGGGCTGACCTTGTGACTGGCTTCTACCCACAGAATGTGGCAGAGCTTCTGCCTCTCAGAAGCCACTTTCCGCATGAAGAAGATACTCAGGTTAGACAAGCAAATGGTGGGCAACCACACACACACACACACACACACACACACACACACACACACACACACACAGAGAGAGAGAGAGAGAGAGGATGCATGGAGGAAAACCAACGCTCCCATTAAACCCACCTGACACAGAAAGAGACAGCTCCATTAAGCCCTGCCCAAATCAGAATCGAGAACCAATAAATGGTGACTATTTAGCCATTATGTTTTGACGTAATTTGCTATGTAGAAATAGCAAACTGAAACAAGGATTGGAGTCTGGAGGGTATGATCTCTACAACCTCTTCTTCTCATAGTGCCCTTTGCTTTTTTTTTTTTTTTTTCCAGACAGAGTCTTACTCTATCGCCCAGGCTGGAGTGCAGTGGTACGATCTCTGCTCACTGCAACCTCCCCCCGCTGGGTTCTAGCAATTCTCCTGCCTCAGTCTCCCAAGTAACTGGGTCTACAGGTGTGTGCCGCCATGCCAGGCAAATTTTTGTGTTTTTGTAGAGATGACGTTTCACCATGTTGGCCAGGCTGGTCCTGAACTCCTGACCTCAGGTGATCCACCCACCTCGGTCTCCCAAAATGTTGGGATTACAGGCGTGAGCCACCACATCCAGCCCCCTTTGCTTTTATTTCTCAACACAAAGTACCCATTTGAAAATGCCAAAACTAAAATGCAGTAAGTTGAAGAGACCTTATTCAATAGGCATCCTCCTACCTCCACCCCAGAGGGGCTCTGCAGGTATCACACCCCATTCATGACTGAGAGTTGAGAGGCTGGGTGGGCTTCCATGAGCTTTGGCCCCTGGCATCTTACCAGAAAGAGGGGAACAGCAGATGGATGTTCCTGGCCTAAATGCCCAGAGCCCCCTGAGAGGAAAAGGAAGGAAGAAGTGACTGTTACAGAAAAATTGGGTGGATAACTGCAAGAGGATTATGCTATAATAACAATGAGGATTGGATTTCATAAAATCCTCAGTTCATAAGTTCATGGCTGGAAACAAGGTCCCCCCGAAGCAGTTAGTTCAGCTGAGTCTCGAAAAGCGAGTGTGACTTTTATTTCTCTGCTTTCTCTGCTCTGTTAATAAGGCCTGGTAAGCGACTGCAGTCCAGCCGGACAATTAAGAAAACATAACTTGGCCCGGTGATGTGGAAAAGCAGTTGCCCACCCGGTGTGACTTAGAAACAGACAGAGCTCGACCCAACACCATGCAAAGACAGGAGGCAGAATCCCGGGTGCTGGTGATGGAGGACAGAAAGGGGAGAGGCCAGTCAGATCCTGGGGAAGAATAAAAACAAAATGAGCCTCAACAAAAAGAGGTCATGAGAGCGTTCCAGAAAACATCCGCTAACACACGTTTACAGTTCAGTGATTTCAGCGTTTAATGATGTCAGAGGTTGTTTCGCAGGTTACCTGGCAGAGGTGGAAAGCCTGTGATTCTGGTAATAACAACCACATTGCTCTGACTCCCCTCACAACAGGGGCAGAGGCTCCGGATCCAAGAAGTGCTCTGGGGACAGCCAGTCTCAGCTCTGCGGGGCAAATGAGCACACCACAGTCACTCAAATCTGGAACCAATCATGTGATCCAAACCTGCATTGTACTGCCCATCCTCGCTTCATAACAAACTCCTAAAGCAAGGAAAGGAACAGAATATAGAACCCACCAGAAGACTCGGGCACTAGCCAAGTTTTATTTGCCCGACCTGGGACACACATCCTCACCATCTCTGGGTCTCTATTCCCTCCTCTGTAAAATGAGAGTCAGACAGAATGATGACTTAACATCCTTTCTAACTCCATAGTTCTATTTTTTTTAATCATTTGATATATTTCCTTCTTTCTGAAAGCTAACATGAAGTTGCCTGCAGTAAATTTCTATGCTCCCCTGCTGGGGTATATTATTTCATATTGTTTCCTTTGTTGTGAAAATTACAACAGCGCAGAGTACAAAATGCCTGTCCTCTAAGTCAAGGCCATGACAATCTAAACAGAGGCTAGGAGTTCACCTAGGGCCCTGTCTAATAACTCAATGTTTTATGAGTTATTTTTCATTAAAGCTTTTGGGTTAGACACTGTAATCAGTACACTTTCTGTTCGGTCGTTGGTGTTTCTTATTGAGATGTTCTTTATGGCATAAAATAGGAGTAATTCGATGTTTATGAGTATTCTGAGGACACTTGAAGGTACCCTATCTGTAGGCACGTAAAGTGGATCATTAACATAAAAATTCAACTCATTCTTTACCCTAGTTCCCTTGGTACTTACTCCTGTTTTCCTATTTCATTTATTATTGCCTACTTAAACTGTAATAAATTGATAGTGCTATATTTAAATCTAGCACAGCTTTGTTGTTAATTTGTCCTCCGATTTCTAAGTTAGAGCAGTACCTATTGGATATTATGCTATTCACAACATACAAATTCATGATCCCGTATTTTCAATATGAATGAATTCTTTGACCCTTTGGAATGGGCCCCTTGAAAGCTTTTTATCTGGGGGTGAGCAGAGATGAGGGGAGAAAGTGTTTTGTCTTATTTTCTACTTTGTCTGAGATCTAGGTCAGCTAACTGATTTCTTTCGCTGTTTTGTTTTCTGATATATTGCTGGCCATTATTTTATTTTTAATCCTTTTGTTATTTTGCCTTGACTAGGTCTCTTATTAACATTCAATTTAATTTAAACTAATCTGAGTGATACTTTTCCTTGTAGTATAAGTCTGTTATATGTGTCTTTCTTTCTGTCATTTTTTACTATTTCCTTGCCATTTTTATCACCCAGCAGTTTTCTTCTGTCATTTATTTATGTTTATCCTTGCCAAATCTTTACTGTCTTCTCTTTTTGGAATTTGTACTGTGCATACTTTGGTCTCCAAGATCTAGTTTCTATATCGCTATCATTCCCTGATCTCTTTCCTTTTCCTTTTTCCTTAGAGTTCTGTTGTCAAATTCCTGTTTCTTCATTCATTGTTTTCCACAGTGTCAAGTCAGCCATTTGCTGTTTCAAAAGTTATTTTTAATTTTTCCATAAATTACTTCAGGTAAAGTATTTATTCACATTGATTTTCTCCCTTTTTTTTTTTTTTTTAAAAAAAAAGTCTTTGGTTTTTTTTTTTTCTTTTAATAATTGACACATAACAACGGCACCTATTTATGGGATATAATGTAATGTTTTAACACATGTATACATAATTTGCTCCCATTACTTCACTGCTTCTACTCCCCTACTGAGTTTGGAATACTCATCAAATACTTTCTCAAATGTTCTTATTTTCGTACAGTGAAGTTACTTCAAGCAAACAGTTCTGAGCTGTCAGGGTATTTCAGCCACCTCCTGACAGGCAGAAGGCCCTCAGAGGTCTGCCATCTTGCCTCGCCTAGCCGCTCGCAGGAAGAAATCTCCCTTCTTTTGCCTTGCAGCTGGTGTTCACCTCTCTGCCTTAAGTATTCATGCAAGCCTTCAAAGTCTCCTTCCATTCTCTATTTAGCCAAGCACTTTGGGGTTGAAAGTTGAAAATAGCCAAAAACCCAGCTCAAACTAGATTAAGGATGCTCACGGGGAATGCAACAGAATGGACAAGGTTAGAATGGAGGCTTCCCCGAAAATTAAGCTCCAGAAGTTTAGTGCTTTCTTGGGGCTACTCTCTATTAAAAATATATATATTTTAAAAACTTTATTCATAGTGTAACAATACAAATAAGGGGTCAGATAGCTGGGGTTCCAGTTATGACTCCAGCACTTTTTAGCTCTGTGGCCTTTCCTCACCTGTTTCTCCATCTGTAAAATAGTCGGAATATCAGTACTACCTCATAAAATCCTTACATGGATTAAATGAGGCAATGCATGCAAATTACAGCACCCAGCACACAATAAGGTTGACAATGTTATCTGACATTGGCTCCATATTCAGGATTTAAGTTGGGATTTGTGAAAACCTGGTCTGCATCTTTCTGGCAGAAACTAATAGAAGAAACTCCACACAGATTAAAGATATTAAAGCAGGAAAAAAAAAAGCCCACACAACCCCACAATAGATTACCAACCCAAATACCTAGCATATGGAGTCAGGAAGCAGAAGACGTCATATCTGAGTTACAGCTGAAAGCTCCATCTCAGCACAGATGGGGGACACAGGACCCATGTCCATGTCTTGGGTAGGTGTGACCACTTCCACCAGGAACTATGCTCTGTGCTTCCTTGCATTGCTCATGGGGAACAAATGTTGCCTCTCTATGGAGGCCAGTGCCCTCTCCACCTGGAGTATTCACAGGGGGTCTCCTAGGATTCCCTCTCATTTACTTCTTATGTAAAGACTTTTTTATTGAAAGTAACAAATATCCAAATCAAACTATAACAGGATCAGAAAGGATGGGGACAGAATGGGATCTGTATAAACAACTAGACCCAGGTACTCAGCATTCTGAGGACTTCCCTGGAATCTCTAACTCTGCTTCTCCTGGTGTATACCTTTACTTATTTATTTATTTTTAGACAAATTCCTTCATGTGGTAGGATCATTGTTGTGGAGAATTCCAGTATCCTCTATTTTGTAACCTAACAGTGGCAGCTCCTGTTAAAAAATAACAAATACACCAACAAATTATTTTATTGGCCTGGCTTGAGTTAAAGGGCCATCCCTGAACCAACCAATTACTGTAGCCAAAGGAATAATGAGCTATTTGTCATCCCCCATCAGAACTTCATATTTGATGTAGGCAGAAAGCAGTTCTCACAAAGAAGCAGATATTGTTTTGGGAAGATAAACACTAAATAACAATAATACTTCCCTCATACACCATCTCAGCTGTCAAATCAAGAGTGCTGACATTTAAACTATAATTTAACAGCTCGGACAATTAGAATGAACATTAACTGTAATACTGAAGTCAGACTCTAGATATCACTATACTCTGCCAAGCATTATCTTGTCATTTGCTGGTCCATGGGGAGACTCAAGGGTTTCCAAAGGAGGTAACCACCTGGATATCAAGGACAGCATGAGAGCACTCAAGACACTCCAGGAAGTACCTGTATGACAACCAGTATAAAAGTATTTCAGTATTTTTACAACAGTTTGCTCATTCCACTATATACTGGTTGCATTACATCTAACCAAATACCCAACTGTCCAGCATGTGGATGACACCCTTTACTATTCACTCATGTTGATAAAGATTTCTTTTCCTCTTTTCTGCATATTCTGTTGCTTGCTTCAAGGTGAATTCGAAAGGGAAGAAACAGCAACTTTCATGCTAACAGCTTGCCTAGAAATGTCTGGAATTTTAAAGATAACATTTTTCACTATAAACCAAAACTCATGGATGCATGGAAACTTAGGAAACTGGTCTGGTCCCTGCATCTGAATGTGCCTTTGCTCCTAGAATGCCCAGGGACCTTGGAAGAAATCTGAATTCTACATTTGAGAGCAAGCATACTGTATATCAGGGTCCAGAGAAGTGAGTCCCAAATATGATTTTGCTGTCTCCAAAATCTTGTAAAAATGCAGATATGAGTCTTTGAATGTTTGGTTGTATTTATTTTGTCATTGTTATTTCTTCATTTTGCTTGAGATTTATGAAAACTAAAAACCACAACTGAATATTCCTCATACCCCACTAATTGTTCTATAGAGAAACCTTTCTGTTCCTTCCTAATCTCAACTGGACTCAGCCCAACTGGAATAAACCGAGGAGCTTTATCAAGCTGATTAAACCCTCCCGCCACACACATGCATTCCCTCCCTATTCCCCAAATGACCACATACTTTAAAGAAAGAGACCACAATTAGTATCTTGAAGATATTTCAACTTGTTTTAAAAATATAATATCTTTCCCTGGGGTCATTATTTTTCTGTTTTCCTATCTCTTTCAGAGCTATCAGAATTCTCTGAATTTTTTCCCATAAAGACACCTACAGCATGAATAGGCTTTTTTTTCCCCACTGTGTTTTAAACTGTGGAATCAGTTGATTTCAAAAATAATAAAAAGTATTTTTTTTGTTAGCAAAATGTCGAGGTGCTTGTAGGTTATTTTAGTTATATATGGAATTCCTAAAATAAAATAGAGGAAAGCCAGATGCTTTAGGAATCATGTGAATTAAAGTGGAAAAGAACCATATCATCTGAGAAAGCAATGCCCAGCTTTTTCTTTGATTGTAATGTATTGGCCATCCTTTGTTAATGAAATCTTCTAGGCCGTCACCAAATCTGTCTTTACTAGAGCCACCAGAAGACTGGGTTCAAGGTCTTTTCTTCATAAGCCTTGAGGAGGAAGATTTGCTGCTGATTATGCAATGCCAGAGAGCATTTCATTCGGTTTGAGAGGACAGATGCACACACCACAAGCCCATCCTGCTTAGCTCAGTGGGGTCAACTTTCCACACAAGTAACCAGAGAGCTCTACGTATGACTTGTGTAATTCATAAAGCATTGGCAGCTTTTTGCTGCTCTGGTTCCTACTCCTCTTTCAATCTTATTTTGTACTACAACCCACCATGCACAGTGGACCTTGAACACACCAAATGACTCTCCGTTCTACACCTACCAACACACAAACATGTTTATTCCATTCTTTTTATTATCTGAAATCCCCTTCCTGTGCTTTACCAGTTAAAATATTAATAACATAGAAGTTCTTCAGCAAACAATATAGAGCTAGGTAAATCATAAGAATTTAGTGATTGGCAGCTGCTCTTTTCACCATCATCATCATCGTCACCACCACCACCTACTACTGTGCTTGCCATTACTATCCTCAAGGATGTCGCTCAAAGGCCACCTCTCCCGAGAAAACCTTCTTGATCCTCTAGTCAGAACTAATGGTATCACCCCTCATACTCTGTGCTTCTTTGACTCAGCTCACCACTGATTTCACTTTACATTGCATTACAGTTGGTTTATTGTTGTCTTTGCTATTGTTGTTATTTATATATAAGTTCACACATTAGTGTACTCCCTGAGAACAGAAATCATGACTAATTTTGTAGAGTACCCATCCACATTCTGGTAACGCTTTATGTTTTTTGTGGTCAAAGCACAAAAAGTGTAGTAGGCACTTGGTAAACATTAGTTAAATTGGATGGGCCAAAATAAAATTTTCTTATTTTGTTTATGTTTTAATGTTTGATCTGGGTTCTTGGATTTCCTGTACTGCATCTCATCTTCTGTAACTTCTTCAGTAAAGTTAAGCATGCTTATCTTTTCACATATTTATTTCAGAAATTGATTCTGATAGTTGGTACATAAATGTTCTCAGTCATTAGTAGAATTTGACTACCCTGGAATGAACTTCATGCGTTTCTTCAAATGTGCGTTTCTTTCAGATCCCCGCAGAAACAAAAGTCTAGGTTCCTCTTGATATTTTCACAGGATATCCTCTGACCCCTAAATTAATTTGAGAGTACTGTAGGAAGCAGGGAAAGATTTGTTTGGGTTTCAAATCCCAAAACCTGACCCCCTGACTCTCGGCCCCAAACTACACAGGAAATTTCTAACAGTAAATCAAGAGCCCAAAGTGCATTTAGCACAGACAGAGAAAAGAAAAGCAAAAACTGGGAATGACCATAGGATCATTTTTATTGTAATTTAAAGATAATCTGTCAGCATAGAGGAAATGTAGTCATTGACTGCACCACGTAATCGTATAACTCGTTGCAGAAAAACTCACTGGTCCCTTTTTTATCCTCAGTCAGAGTTAGAGGTACAGAGAATAAACAGACCACATGTACCACTTTCTAAACATAGGATTAATTACCCACTGTTCAGACCCCAGCTCTTTGCTTTTATTCACTCTCTACCTCTAATTCCCACATTCATATCTTACCTCTGTGCAGCTGATTCTCAAATTTGTAATTTAGATCCAGCTTCATCAAAGTCAAGACCATATACCAAGTGCACTGCATGTCTCCAACTGTGCAACCCACGGGGATCACAGTCAAATGTCCAAAGCCAAAACTGTCTTCAATGCAGTCCCCTCCCTGGTTACATGACCGACCCTTATCATCATGCCAAATCTCCCAGGCTGAAAGTCTCAGGGCCTCTTTTGAGGCCTTTTCCTTTCTTCACATCCAGTTAACTTCCATGGCTTATAATTCTTGGACCAGGCTTTTCATTCAAACAATGCAGCAATTCCTTAACCGCCTGTTCAGATTCTCACATCTGTGACTGCTCTTAAAACACAGCTCTGGCTGTGTAAATGTCTTCTTTGAGAAGTGTCTCTTTATATCCTTCACCTACTTTTTGATGGGGTTGTTTTCTTCTTGTAAATTTGTTTAAGTTCTTTGTAGATTCTGGATATTAGCCCTTTGTCAGATGGATAGATTGCAAAAATTTTCTCCCATTCTGTATGCAGCCAACAAAGATGAAAAAAAGCTCATCATCACTGGTCATTAGGGAAACACAAGTCAAAACCACAATGAGATACCATCTCACGCCAGTTAGAATGGTGATCATTAAAAAGTCAGGAGGGCCGGGTGTGGTGGCTCACGCCTGTAATCCCAGCACTTTGGGAGGCCAAGGCAGGCAGAATGCACAAGGTCAGGAGATTGAGACTATCCTGGCTAACACAGTGAAACCCCGTCTCTACTAAAAATACAAAAAAAAAAAAAAAATAGCTGGGCATGGTGGCGGGCGCCTGTATACCCAGCTACTCGGGAGGCCGAGGCAGGAGAATGGTGTGAACCTGGGAGGCAGAGCTTGCAGTGAACCGAGATCTCGCCACTGCACTCCAGCCTGAGCAACTGAGCAAAACTCCATCTCAAAGAAAAGAAAAAAAAAAGTCAGGAAACAACAGATGCTGGAGAGGATGTGGAGAAATAGGAACACTTTTACACTGTCGGTGGGAGTGTAAATTAGTTCAACCATTGTGGAAGACAGTGTGATGATTTCTCAAGGATCTAGAACTAGAAATACCATTTGACCCAGCAATCCCATTACTGGGTATATACCCAAAGGATTATAAATCATTCTACTATAAAGACACATGCACACATGTTTACTGTGGCACTGTTCACAATGGCAAAGACTTGGAACCACACAAATGCCCATCAATAATAGACTGGATAAAGAAAATGTGACACATATACACCATGGAATACTATGCAGCCATAAAAAGGATGAGTTCATGTCCTTTGCAGGGACATGGATGAAGCTGGAAACCATCATTCTCAGCAAACTAACACAAGAACAGAAAACCAAACACCGCATGTTCTCACTCATAAGTAGGAGCTGAACAATGAGAACACATGGACACAGGGAGGGGAACATCACACACTGGGGCCTGTTTAGGGGTGGGGGGCTAGGGGAGGGATAGCATTAGGAGAAATACCTAATGTAGATGATGGGTTGATGGGTGCAGGAAACCACCATGGCATGTGTATACCTATGTAACAAACCTGCACATTCTGCACATGTACCCTGGAACTTAAAATATTCAGAAAGAAAACCACAGCTCTGGTCATGTTGTTCCCCTAATCAAAAACTTTCCCTGGCTCCCCATCATCTCCTTAGGCACCCAAGGCTAGTCAGGTCATCCCAGTCTCCCATTCTTACCATGCACATTAACCACAGTTGCATATGTGAGGGTTATATCCACTCTGTATAAGTTGCTTTCTATATATGCTTCATCTCTATACCCCTTACAGCCTTGCCCTGTGCTTTTCACATAGTAGATGTCATTAAATATTTTTGAATTGAATTTCATATGCCTATCTTTATTTCAGAGCCCTAGTTTTTGACCCACTCTAATGAAATCCTGCTTTTATCATACACCATTTCAAGCCTGGTCCAGATTCCCCTAGTCCAAATTTCTGAAAAGTTGGGCAAAATCCAGGCTTACATTTATCTTTGCAATAGCTACCTGAGAAGTAAATTAATAGTGTAAACTAGCTAGCATGGGTTGTGCTTGACCTAGTTAAAAAAAAAAAAAAAAAAAAAAACTTTAAAGCATGGAGGACTTTTTACACTCACTTAGTATGCTTTTTTACCTACACTTATCTCATACTTATCTGACCCTAATTGCATCCTAAATTTATTGAGATGCATTTCTTGTAAATCTTTATAATCAGACCAGTCCCACTCCACTGATTCAAATCAGTGAGGCTTGACTGCCTGTATAATGATTATTCAACTACTGTCAATTCTTTGACCTCCTACTTTTCAATGATAAATGCAAAGTGAGTCTGCTCTGCATGGCATTAAAACTGACTACCCTTTTCTACCTTAAATTTGTGGAAAAGACTGAGTCATCCACCTGAAGGGAAGAGCAGCAGCAGCAGGATTGTGGGCCACCCCCCCATGCCTTGAACAACTGGTGTAACCTCCTTGTGCCTTTTGAGTTCTTCATCTGTGAAAGGAAAAGCAATGATCAGTGCTCCTGTGTCTAGACTCCAGCCTGCCTGGCCATGTGAACCCAGAAGCATTTTCCTTTTCCAGGCCTTGAAGGCTTGAGGCCAGCTGAGTTGTTAAGGGTAAATCCTTACTCCCTGGTTACTGCCAGGTGGGGATACCTGGCTCTGAAACCAGCCTTGGACCAGGTTTGACCTTTTTACCCCAATCTCCTATCCACACCTCTTTAGCTAACTGATGAGGTTCCTATTACCCCAATTGCCCTGAGCAATAGTACTCAATCACTGCTGCATCTAGCACAACATGGAAGCAATTTTAAGAATTCTGGCCTCCAGTACCTACAGACATCATTGAACTGGGGGAATATGCTGTGGCTGGATGCTTCATGTGGTGTTAATTAAAAACAACCTGAATTTTTACAAATGCAGCTGTACCGCCCACTTACACTCCTCTGTAGTTTCCATTTAACAACCATTAAAAGCAGTGTCTGTCCCTTTAACTTCACAGAAACCACCAGTAATTCACTTTAAAGCACAGAATTCCAAAGGACTGATTCTTAATTAATCTTTGCAGGGGAGACATTTTCCCACGCAAGTTAGCATGTGAGTGATAACCCAGTGCTGCAATATCCCACTCAATTTGCCTTAATACTCACATAAGCAAGGAACTAGAGACCTAGGGAAACCAGTAACTCCTTGGAAGACTGCCATCTACTATCATGTTACTTTGCCCTAGAAGCTGCCCTTCAGGATATATTACATTAGGAAGGACTTCCTTAGAAAAGGGGTGGTTCAGGACAAATTACTCAGTGTGTGCTCATGCCTACATACACGGATATGTTGGAAATACTTGACCTGTTAATGTAACTTTCTTGGCCTCTGTTTTCTCACATGTTCAAAGGAATAATAATCCCTACTCATTTTGAGGCCATTGTAAAATAAATTGACATCATTGGTAAACTGCTGTTCAATGTATGATGCAAGGATAGTGTTCTCTTTGCACAAAGGAGTGGGTAACTGCTCATATCACCCTCCATCCCAAATTTCCCTTTCTCCCTACAACATGTTTATTCCATTCAATATAAAATCATAGGGGAATGTTGCCAGACACTGCCATAAAGAGGAGAAAAAGAAAAATTAAAAGTGATCATTATCCATGCACCCAATATACTTCACTCATTTTAAGACAGGGATAAAGTGGTCAGCCTATGCATAACATATTGTGCTTTATAAATAAGTCCATTTGAGAGGGAAATGTTAATGTACTCAAACAAGCACAATTCAACATTGCCTTGAACAAGAGATGTACAGATAGCAGGACACACGCACACACAATGGTATATGATTATTTCAAAGTAAAAATTGGTTACAGTGTATGTTAAGGACAGCCGTGGAGGTAAAACAATCAGAAAATGGCAGTCTGAAGGCTGGGCATGAAAGTATAACGAGCAGTTCAACCTTTACAGTTTTTGATGGGAGTTATTACAATTTATGGGATTATTGTATGAGTAAACTTTCTGCTATTTTCAACATGTGGGCCACCTCTTTTGATCACAATCAGAAGCCTCTCTGTGTACCTCCCCAGAATCCTCTCTGTCACTTTTGAGCTTGGGCATTAGTGAGTTCATCATTAAGATGATCCTTGACTGGAGGAAATAAGGCAAAGGAACTTTGTGACTAACAAAATCATGTCTTGGCAAAAGACTAGTATCCGAAATCTACAAGGAACTCAAATAAGCTAGAAAAAATAATAATAATAATCCCATCAAAAAGTGGGCAAACGACACAAATAGACATTTTTCAAAAGAAGATATGAACATCCAACAAACATGAAAAAACGTTCAACATCACTAATCATCAGGGAAAGGCAAATTAAAACCGCAATGAGATACCACCTTATTCCTGCAAGAATGGCCATAATTAAGATGTCAAAAAAACCATAGCTGTTGGGATTGATGTGGTGAAAAGGGAACACTTTTACACTGCTGGTAGGAATGTAAATTAATACAACCACTATGGAAAATGATATGGAGATTCCTTAAGGAAATAAAAGTAGAACTACCATTCAATCCAGCAATCCCACTACTAGGTATCTACCCAAAAGAAAAGAAGTCATTATATTAAAAAGACACCTGTGCATGCATATTTATAGCAGCACAAGTCGCAATTGCAAAGATATGGAACCAACCTAAGTGCCCAATGGCCAATGAATGGATCAATAAAATGTGGTACATGTACACCAGGGAATACTACTCAGCCATAAAAAAAAGAACAAAATAATGCCTTTTGCAGCAACTTGGATGAAACTGGAGGCCATTATTCTAAGTGAAGTAACTCAGGAATAGAAAACCAAATACCATATCTTCTCACTTATAAGTGGGAGTTAAACTATGAGAATGTAGAGGCATAAGAGTGATATAATGGACTTTTGGGAGTCGGTGGGGAAGGTGAGGAGTGGGGTGAGAGATAAAAGACTACATATTGGGTACAGTGTACACTGCTCAGGTGATGCCTGCACTAAAATCTCAGAAATCACCACTAGAGAACTTATCCATGTAAGCAGAAACCACCTGTCTCTCAAAAACTACTGAAATAAAATAATTTTAAAATTATGTCTTGGGTAATTGTTTTGAGATTGATGGTGCACAGTAGTGTTTGAAAACTCATAAAAGGGAAGAAGACCCTCAAAGAATATGTGGTCAAATCCCCTCATTCCTCATTGCCCAGATAGAGGCATTAAAGCTCCTAAAGCAAAAGAGACCTACCCAAGGCCACAGTGTAAGGGAAGGAGAAAGCTGTTGGGAAGCCCATCCAGTAAGACTGGCCTCATCTCACATGTGAGAAGGGATCACCGCCATTTTCCCAAGGAATGATCTAGAGTCAACCTCAAGGGGTCTAACATCATTGTTACTCCAGGGAGTAACTGATCATTTAATTGAAAACAAGTAGTTCAAGAGGAAAATTTGTGCCAAATGAAAATTCTTATCTCTAGTTTTCCTCTTCCTGGAAATTTTGGTGCATCATGTGAGCAGTTTCTCAAATTTTCAGCTTTTTAATGCAGCTTTATATATCTCATTAAACTCTTGGTTTGAGGTGATAAAGTTGTCCTACTTTTTTCTATTTTTCTATACATAATTTTCAGGCATTTATTTCTGCTCTTTTTGCTTAAAATTGTTTGGATATTTTTAAAAATTCAGCCTCATCTCCAAACGAATCATTTAAAGCAACTTCATCAAAACTGAATATTCGCTTTCCCCACTTCTTGTTTTTGTCAGATTTGTCAAAGATCAGATAGTTGTACATATGTGGCATTATTTCTGAGGGCTCTGTTCTGTTCAATTGGTCTATATCTCTGTTTTGGTACCAGTACCATGCTGTTTTGGTTACTGTAGCCTTGTAGTATAGTTTGAAGCCAGGTAGCGTGATGCCTCCAGCTTTGTTCTTTTGGCTTAGGATTGACTTGGCAATAAGGGCTCTTTTTTGGTTCCATATGAACTTTAAAGTAGTTTTTTCCAATTCTGTGAAGAAAGTCATTGGTCTCTGGGAAAATTGGCTAGCCATATGTAGAAAGCTGAAACTGGATCCCTTCCTTACACCTTATACAAAAATTAATTCAAGATGGATTAAAGACTTGAATGTTAGACCTAAAACCATAAAAACCCTAGAAGAAAACCTAGGCAATAACATTCAGGACATAGGCATGGGCAAGGACTTCATGTCTAAAACACCAAAAGCAATGGCAATGAAAGCCAAAATTGACAAATGGGATCTAATTAAACTAAAGAGCTTCTGAACAGCAAAAGAAACTACCATCAGAGTGAACAGGCAACCTACAGAATGGGAGAAAATTTGTGCAATCTACTCATCTGACAAAGGGCTAATATCCAGAATCTACAAAGAACTCAAACAAATTTATAAGAAAAAAACAAACAACCCCATCAACAAGTGGGTGTAGGATATGAACAGACCCTTCACAAAAGAAGACATCTATGCAGCCAAAAGACATGAAAACATGCTCATCATCACTGGCCATCAGAGAAATGCAAATCAAAGCCACATTGAGATACCATCTCACACCAGTTAGAATGGTGATCATTAAAAAGTCAGGGAACAACAGGTGCTGGAGAGGATGTGGAGAAATAGGAACACTTTTACACTGTTGGTGGGACTATAAACTAGTTCAACCATTGTGGAAGTCAGTGTGGCGATTCCTCAGGGATCTAGAACTAGAAATACCATTTGACCCAGCCATCCCATTACTGGGTATATACCCAAAGGATTATAAATCATGCTGCTATAAAGACACATGCACACGTATGCTTATTGTGGCACTATTCACAATAGCAAAGACTTGGAACCAACCCAAATGTCCAACAATGATAGACTGGATTAAGAAAATGTGGCACATATACACAATGGGATACTATGCAGCCATAAAAAAGGATGAGTTCATGTCCTTTGTAGGGACATGGATGAAACTGGAAACCATCATTCTCAGCAAACTATCGCAAGGACAAAAAACCGAACACTGCATGTTCTCACTTATAGATGGGAATTGAACAATGAGGACACATGGACACAGGAAGGGGAACATCACACACTGGGGCCTGTTGTGGGGTGGGGGGAGGGGGAGGGATAGAATTAGGAGATATACCTAATGTAAATGACGAGTTAATGGGTGCAGCACACCAACATGGCACATGTATACATATGTAACAAACCTGCACGTGTGCACATGTACCCTAAAACTTAAAGTATAATTAAAAAACCCTGAACATTTGCAATCACCACTTCACAGTCTTTCAATCTGTGTATACTCAAGAGTAATGTGGCAATTTCATTATAGATTTCTAGCACCTCTATTCCCTAAGTAAATTTGCCCTTTTTCCTAAATTTAAACTCATTTCTATCAGTAGTGCCTCCTGTATATCTTTGACCATCTTTATCACTTTTTTATTTGCACATCATTTTCATGCATCAGAATATTCTATGTAACCAAACTCTGCAGCATTATGTTGCCATCATTGAATGATATACTTTTTTTCCTGAAATTCAAGACTATTGTGAAAGCATGAACAAACTCACTAAAGATGTAGGGACAAGCTATGTCTGAGTTTTTAGATTCATTGGCATTAAGAGCAGAGTCAAATGCAAAGATGAGAGATGTGACTGACCAGAAGGATACTGAATGAAGGTCAGACCAACAGCTGGGGGTCCCAGAAGTTCCCACTGTTACCCACCTAGGCACAGAAATCTGCACTAGACATTTGGAAAAGAGTCAGGAGTTGAAAACCAAGTAACAATCCTGCTGTGTGTTGGGCACTCTGAAATGGCAGAGGTAAACTCCATATATTACATGTTTAATGTAATAAAAAATAAGGCTTTCTACCCAAAAACAGGCATACAATGTTTATAGCAGATTTCTTCATGACTGGCAAAACTTGGAAGCAACCAAGATGTTCTTCAGTATGTGAATAAATAAACTGTGGTACATCCAGACAACAGAGTATTAGTCAGTACTAAAGATAAATGAGCTATCAAGCCATGAAAAGACATGGAAGAGGCATACGTGCATATTACTAAGAGAAAGAAGCTAATCTGAAAGGCTACATGCTGTGTGATTCCAACTATGTAACATTCTGGAAAAGGCGAAACTATGGAGATTGTAAAGATGAGTAGTTGCTTGCGGCTACGGGGAAGGAGGGATAAAGAAGAGAAGCATGGAGAATTTTCAGGGCAGTGAAAATATTTTGTATGATACTATAATTGTGGGTACCTGGCATTATACATTTGTCCAAATCCATAGAATGCACAGCACCAAGAGTGAACCCTAATGTAAACTATGAACTTTGAGTGATGATGGTATGTCAATGTAGGTTCATCAGTTGTAGCAAACATATCACTCTGGTGGGGGATGTTGATGATGGGGGGAGGTAGGGAGGCTATGAAAAATCACTGTACCTTCCTCTCAAGTTTGTAGTGAATCTAGAACTGTTCCAAAAAAAATTGTCTATTAAAAAGCACAAGCTTTGATTATCTTTAATCATCATCATAACAGCTAGCACTGAGTGTTTACTCAGTGCCGGACATCTCTCTAAGTCCTTTGTATGAATTAATTCATTTAATTCTCCAAGGAGCCCTCAAAGGTAAGTGCTAGGTTCACCTGCATTTCACAGATGCAGACGCAAGACACAGAACAGGTGTGTGATTTGCACAAAGTCACACAGCTATAGCTTTCCCATGCAGGAGTCAGGATCCTGATTTCAGTTTCTTCCATTGTTTCTGAAGCTTTGTGCTGCACCTTCACGTCTGAGTGGCAGTTGTAATATGAAGGGGAAGAGGTGAATAATTCAGAGCCTGTCTAGGAAGGCTGTTTCCTGGGCAAAGACCAGGAGACTTCCCAGATTTTGCTGTGGCTTGGACTGTGCAGAGGGGCCCTGACCCCTCCCCCATCACAATGGCAATGGCGAGGGTCAGGGGCAGGGGTGCTGTGCCAGTTCACTGCCTGCGGGACACTGCCCCTATTTCCCCTGGTGAGCTCCAGGTGGACGACCAGGTCCTCACCCCTGCAGCACGGCCTGATTGAGGTTCTGCAATATACAGGAAGCTGATGAGGATTTCACGGCCACCTCTTCCACCTTGGGCAAAGGGCACCGCTGTTTGTTTTCATGAGAATTGAGCTGGAGGAGCTGAAGGTGTTTTCAATGAAGGCCCACCTGTGTCATGTTAAGGAACACGCAGGAACCATGGCTTTGAACTTCAGTGCTGAGGATTATTTGTTTTTCCTGAAAGTAGTGGAAAAGCAGCCTATGAGTATCTGTAGGGTCCACAGTGGGCTGAGGATGGCTGCCAACCCCTGCCACAACAGACACACCTACAAACCTGGGGGTGGCCACTGGCACCGAAGTGACCTTGCCATACTGGGAATCAGACACTTCAGCACAGGAGGCTGCCCTGTTTCCAAAATCAAGAAACCTGTGGTTGCTTCCCCAGAGTAACCACAGCCCAGCTACCTTCTCTCCCAGAACACACCTAGGCTCTATGCTTCCTCCTGCCTGCCTGACACCCATCTCCTCAACAGGAAGAAAGTCCTAGTCCTGCCTGCTTTGCTTTCTCCCAGAGCAGCCCCAGAAACATGGAGATGATGTTTGAGGGACACTCCAAGGAGCAGTTGTCCAAAATCAGATGGACCTCAAAGCCTCCTGGCTAAGAGCACAAGAATCAAGCAGCAAAATCTTCCCCCAAGCTCCCCTTCCACTTCTTTCCCCAATGTGGCCCACTGTTCTGTTCTCCTGAATCACATTGTAGGCTCCAAAATCTTCCTAAAACAAACAAACAAATTTGTATCACCTTAGGGCTAGATCATTTCCCTATGGCTCTAGAGGAGAGTAATTTATAACCCAACTGATACTGCTGGGACATTAATTGGTGACTTCAACCTTTATCATCTTCCCCTCTTACAGACATCTCTGGTTTGAACAGAAGACTGAGGCAGGCAACATTTAACTCAACAGATGGCTTTGCCAACGGTGAAATTCCTGGCACTGCAATCCTAGTCTGGTGCCTGGGACCATGGCTGTATCCCCGGCTTTCTGGGGCCCCAGTGAGTGCCCCCCATCACCCACAGTTGCAGCTGTCCACACGCACTGTGGTGAAGGCTAGCTCCCTGACACTGCAGGCTGAGTTTCTACAAGTTTAAGAGACGCTGCACCAAATCAGGACCATGACAGCTGCCTCATTCTCTGAGCTACTTTTGTGTAATTTAGCAAATCACACTGGGAAGAGCCCACCCTGAAGCTAGAAGACCAGAATTGGAGCCCCAGGTCTTCCCAGCAACCGCCCCTCTGTCTTGAAGGATTAAAAGCCTACGCTTCAGATGTTTCACACTAGGGTAAAACAGTGATACTAACAAAGACGTCTGCCTCCCAAGTTCATTGTGAAGATGCTATGACGTATTAGAAAACATTTTGTGATCTATAAATGTTTCACAAGTAAAGACATTTCTGTTATTAGAAGCTATGTCAAAAAAACATATTGAAAAGTCCATGGGAAATGTAGCTTTATATGTAAATGTTCATTCACAATTTTATTTCTATTTCTTTGGTCAGCAGCACAAGCATTTAATGTAATTGCTCCAGGACCACATGGTTATGTGCTGCAGGAAAAGCATAAGACACATGAGACACAGCCTCATGTGTCTCCTCTGTGCAGTCCAGTTACAGTCTGATTTGAAGGTCAGGACACATGTGAAGTAACCACACAGGCAATGCAGGACAGACATCCTCATGTCAGGTGCCTGATTTACAAATGCAAGACTTGTAGACAATTCGTGCTCAACAGCCATTGCCCATCTGATCTCTTCCACTACCACAGTTGTCCAGGACTCCTTGGCAGGAGGAGTCTCACCCCGTGCATCACAGTCCCTCTCCTGCTCATGCCAAATCCTCTTCCCACCTTGAGCCAAAACTGGAGTTGGGAACACGTTCTTCCAGAAAAGCAGTAAGCTCAGTGGTATCATCAGGGTCTGAGCCCTCCAGGTTGGTCAGATGCCCCTTCTCTGAGTTCTCTATCACAGCACTATGCACACACACTTGTAACTCCCAGAAATCAGGGTCTGTACCAATTTTATCTTTGTATCCACAATGTCTGGGCCATTGTGGGCTCAAAGTGGTCCAAAAAATATTTGTGGGATAAACAAATAAAGGAATAAACTATAGCACAGGCTAAATGTGCTTTGGGAGGCTAGCCTGAGAACAAAACCCATATGCTAGCCTGGGAACTATTGTTAAACTAGAAGAATAAAGAAAAGAGGATTTTTAACTGACATCAAAAAAATGAAAATATAGGTGAGCAAATGTGTTTGTTGTAAATATGTAAGCATGGAGAATCTTGAAAAAGAAAACATATTAGTTTATTAACTATATTAAAGGAGGGGAAAGAGTTGGAGGAGAAGATAAAAAGGGGGAAGAGAAAAAAACTGTAAACAACCATATATATGTATCTATGTATAATTTGAAAAGGAGAATGAAAATGCCCAGGCATGAGACAAATAAGAAATCAGAGATAACCCATGTGAGGAAATAAGCTGAATGTTCCCAAACACAAATGAGAAGAAAACAGAGCCAAGACCAGGAATCCAAAGGACACCTTGACAGCAGCAATGTCTGGGCGTGGTGCTCCCTAAAAGATCCGGAGCCCCAGAATAGTGGCTTTAGGCTTTCCCACTATTGTGTCCAACTCCAGCCGAGGACAGGTTCAAATAAAATGGTTCACACAGCTATGCCTGCATCATATGAGCTGAACTAATATCAACAATTACATCAGGAAAAATGTGTTTACCTTGGTTTCCCGCCACAGAAAATGGGTCCAAAATGATGTTGAACATACGCCTTTCATTTCTGCGGCTTTAGAAGAACAAATAATTTAACAGGTGGGACTCAGAATTCCAAGGTTTTTTTTTTTTTTTCAGGGGAGGGGATAGCATCTTTTTGTTGTTGTTATTTATAGTAGAGTATTAAACATTCCTCTGTTGGTCAATGGAATCTGGAACCCTTCTTAACAAACCTCTGTGAGTTATATTTATTTTGCAGAAGCTCTCCTAATGATCACATTAGCAGCAAGTTGGAAAAGCCCAGTGAGTCCAATCAGACTGACTGTACTTTTGCATGTTATCAGTACAATATGTTGCTTCAACTGAAAGGCTAAATTCTCTAACTGCCCCCAAAATTGATCCAGACAGCAGAAAGGGAGGAAATTCATTCTACTTTAACACAGCAATTGGTCCAGACTTCACGCAATATCATTTCAGTCTAGAATTTTCATCATCACTGCCAAAAACATCATACAGAAACATTACATGACTTGCACTCAGTTTCACTCTCCAAAAAACAGCCATCTTGTTCCAGGCCTAAGGAGAAAAAATGAAATTAAAGGGAGATGAGGTGGGGAGGAATCACATGGAGCATTTTTAACTGTTTCTCACTGCCTGGTTTCTCAGTTTCACAACAATTATTGACAAATCAATGAAGTTTTGATATTAAGAACAGCCAGAAGTTCCTCCATATGTCAAATGCTCCATTTCTCAAACTAAAACCCTCTATTCATAGTTGCATGAGGGTATCTTGCTCGCCTTTTTGCTTTTACTTATCTGTCCTATATCCCAGATCATTCAGGGAACTGGAATGTTTATGCTAGGTATCAGAAAATATCCCAATGATTTACACAAATTAGAGCGTGCATCAGTTTATGGTAACTCTACTATAATGAACAAGCCCAAAAATATATACTGTGTCAAACACAATATGCTAAATAACTTTCTCACATAAAGTTCAAAATAGGTGATACAGACTGGTGGGCAGGCCTTCCACATGGGATTCAGAGACCTTTGACCCTTCCACATGCTCAGTTCTCTGCTAGGGCCATAGAGTCCTCAGTATTCAGCCAGAACACAGGGGATCAGAGGGTGGAAAGGGCAAATTCACTTCTGAAAAATCTCAGTCCAGAATGACACACATACTTCCACTCATAATCCATTGGTTAGGACCTAATCATCCATCTGCAAAGAAGGCTGGGGAATGTTGTATAGCTGTGTGTTCTGAAAGAGGAGGAAACAAGGTTAGTGAAAAGCTTGCTACTGTCTGCCATAGACAGTCAACTGAACCAATCCATACCCTAAATTTTACTTGCATTATAATTGTCATGGTAATTTCGGAGTTATATTTTAGCTCAGGGTGTATGTGCCTGTGTGTTATCCAGATAACATGACTACAATGGCCTAGCTTGAGAATTATACACAGAGTTCAACATCTGACATTTGCTGCAGCTAAACATTCAGGAAGTCCTGAGGGGACAACTTCCAAAGTAGTCACCTGAAAGTCAAGTCCAACGTGGTTCAGATATGCTGCGGCAATCCAAACTCTAAATCAGAGAGTTTGCCTAAGTAAGAATTTGGGGAGTGATACAAAACTTTGGCAAGAACTGTGGCTTCACTGTGCACCTTGGTCAGACTGCGTTTCCATGTACTTCATATTTGCTGTTCAGATTCTCAAAGGCATGGACAGGTGCAATAACTACTATATCCTAATTTGTTAGAGTTTAAAAAGCATATCAATCATTCTTTGATCTTCAGAAAGAAACTGTAATAACCAGAACAGAGATTGCTTTCCTGTTTTTTTAAAAAAATGTGATGGTGGAAACTGTAAGCCTCAGGACCTAAAAGTATGCAGAGACTGGACTTAAACTCAAAATTCAAAGGCCATCCTCCCCCCATATCAGCACCCCATCAGTGCCCTAGAATGACTGCAATTCCAGTCATCTCCACAACTAAGATGGCTTCTTATTGCCACACAGATCACTTTCATCCAATCACTACTAGAGCTTTTATTTAACAAAAGAAAAACCTACCACAGATTGCTCCTTGAGCATGATAGAATCCTGCCAGACAAAACTTTTATAAACCCAAAGACTTTGCTGCTCAAAGTAGGGTGTGTGGAGGAGTAGCACTGGAAGTTCCTGGGAATTTGTTAGAAATGAAGGCTCTCAACCCCATTCCCTGACCCACTGCATCAAATACTCCATCTTAACAAGATCCCAAAGTGATACTAATACAGATACTGATCAGTGCATCAGATACTCCATCTTAACAAGATCCCAGAGTGATACTGGTAAAGTTAGACCGTCACCACTCTAGGGTATCCTATAGCATATTAACTTGGATGCCTACTAGGGTCTAAAAATGACCTAATAAAAAATGAATTATAAAAATCAATAAGAAAAACAGGTAGAAAATAGTCAAAATGTAAGAACAGGCAATTTACAGAAAAAAATACAAATAAACTTTAATAAACATAAATAAAGCTCATCTTCTCTAGTGATTTAGGAAATGCAAATTTAAACAACAGCTCCATATCATTTTTCACCTATCAGAGTGGCAAAACATTAAAGTTTGATAATATGCAAAACTACAAAAAATTTTAAGAAAAGAGTGTTCTCTCATACTATAGGAGCTGAAATTGTTATAATCTCTTTGGAAGGCAATTTTTCAGCACCTTTTTTAAAAAATTTCAAAGATTTTGATTAAACAATTCAACTTCTAAGAATACAGTCTATACAAATATTTGTTAACATGTCAAAGGTAAGTGTAAAAGCATTTTATTACTCCATTTGAATTATGAAAACTAAAGGGAATTTAAATATCCGTCTATTAGAAAATGGTTAAGTAAGTTAGTGGGGAATCCATACTAAGGAACTATGCAATAATTTTTAAAAAGTCAATGTCACGAAAAAAAGTCCATGACATATTACTGAATGCCTAAGCAAGTTGCAAAATAGTATGTATAGCCTGATCCAATTTTTATATTTTAAAACTATATAGAAGTATATACATTTGTCAAAATTCATCAAACACTAAATTTAAAATCAGCATTTTCACCACAGTACTGGCATAAAAACAGACACATAGATGACCAATGAACAAAATAGAGAACCCAAATATAAACCCATGTATTTACAGCCAATTCATCTTCAACAAAGGCGTATTAGAACATAGAATGGAAAAAAGGAAAGTTTTTTTTTAATAAATGCTGCTGGAAAAACTGGATAACTATATGCAGAAGAATGTAACTAGGCCCCTATCTCTCATCATGCACTAAAATCAAATAAAATGGATTAAAGACTTAAATCTAAGACCTGAAACTATGAATCTGCTAGAAGAAAACATTGTGGAAATGCCCCAGGACATTGGTCTGGGCAAAGATTTTATTTTGTGTAAAATTTCAAAAGCATAGGCAACAGAAGCAAAAATAGGCAAATGGGATTACATCAAGCTAAATAGCTTCTGCATGGCAAAGAAAACAATCAACAATGTGAAAAGACAACCCATAGAAAGGGAGAAAATATTTGCAAACTATGCATCTGATAAGGGATTGATAACCAGAATATATAAGGAGTTCAAACAATTCAATAGCAAAAAGACAAATAATCTGATTTTTTAAATGGGCAAAAGATCTGAATAGATGTTTCTCAAAAGAAATACAAATAGCCAACAGATATATCAAAAAAATGCTCAACATTAGTAATCACCAGAGAAATGTGAATCAAAACTACAACAAGATATCATCTCATCCTAGTTACAGTGGCTTGTATCAAAAAGAAAGGCAATAATGGCCACTGGTGAGGATACAGAGAAAGGGGAAACCTCATACACTGCTGAAAAGAATATAAATTAGTACAGCCAAAATGGAAAACAGTATGGAGATTTCTCAAAAATCTAAAAATAGAACTGTATGACCCAGCAATTCCACTACTGAGTATGTATACAAAAGAAAGGAAATCAATATATCAAAAAGACATCTGCACTCCCATGTTTATTTCAGCACTATGCTGAACAGCCAAAATATGGAATCAACCTAAGTGCTCATCAACAGATTAATGGATAAAGAAAATGTGGTATATATACACAATGGAATATCATTCAGCCATGAAAAAAGAATAAAATCCTGTCATATGCAGCAACATGGGTGAAACTGGAAGTCATTATGTTACACAAAATAAACTAAGCACAGAAAGACAAATATCACATGTTTTACTTATATGTGGGATCTAAAAAAGTGGACCTCATGAAGACAGGGAATATACTGGTGGTTATCAGAGGCCAGGAAGGGTTGGATTGTAGGGAAGATGAAGAGAAGTTGCTGAATGGGTATAAATATGTGGTTTGATAGAAGAAAACCTAACACTTATCTAACAGTAAGACCTGGTGTTAGATAGATCCGTAGGTTGATTATCATTTAGAATAATCTATTATATATTTCAAAATAGCTAGAAGAGAATAATCAGAATAGTTCTAGCATTAAAAAAAGGTAAATATTAGGGTGATGGATAGTCCAAGTATGCTAACTTGATCTTTACAAATTATATTAAATTATTGTATGTACCCCAAAACTGTATACATCTATTATGTATCAATAGAAAAAGAAATATAAAATATAATCAGTGCATGTTGTTTTATGGAAATTATACCTCAGTACAACTGATTTAAAGGATTATATGTAAATTGTTATGTATTTTAGTCATATATTAAGTTATTTATATATTTTATATTATGTATATATGTTATGTATGTATATATTTTTTTTCTTTTTTTTTTTTTTTTTTTTGAGACAGAGTTTTGCTCTTGTTGCCCAGGCTGGAGTGCAATGGTGCGATCTCGGCTCACTGCAACCTCCACCTCCCAGGTTCAAGCAATTCTCCTGCCTCAGCCTCCTGAGTAGCTGGGATTACAGGCACCCGCCACCACACCCGACTAATGGTTTTTTTTCTCTGTATTTTTAGTAGAGACAGGGTTTCACCATGTTGGCCAGGCTGGTCTCGAACTCCTGACCTCAGGTGATCTACCTGCCTCAGCCTCCCAAAGTGCTGGGATTACAGGTGTGAGCCACTGCACCCAGCCTGTATATATTTTCATTAGTGTATGCTATGTATGGATTTTCAGGTCTACAAAATAATCTGAAAGGGAACACAACAAACCTTTTAAAGTGGCAGAGGCTGGAAGAGAATAAAATGAGTGGGAACCTTCTGTATTGTTGTTTTTTCAACAAACATACACTTTTTGTATTTTCAAAAAAGCATAACTTAAAACTTTCAATGAAATCATTTCCAGTGAGCCTGAATCAATGTGGAAACACAAACTTCATTTGGCCTCATTAATTGCTTCCCTTGGCCCAGGTTAGTCATGTGGTGTCTAGTATGACGGTCTACATTGCATACACGATTACCAGGCTGGCCCTCCAAAAACACCTGTTTCTTATCTCATACAGGACGACTGAGCACCCTTAAAAATTAGCTCTATGCTAACAACTTTATGAAAATTCAGTACAGGAGATAAGACATTGTTCCAGCCCCCAGGCTTAATACTCAACCTGAAAGCTAAAAACATTCTGTACCGGGTAGTGTAGTAAGTCTAAATTTGTGGACCAACTTTAAATACTCTTCTTCCTGTCTCATTCATTGAGCAATATTTATCATTATTTTCCTTCATTTCCTGTCCCTTCTGGTTATACTAGCCTTCATGCTATTCTACAAATACCTCAGCTTTTGCTTCTACTATCTCGCTCACCTGGAGTTTCTATCTCCCTCATCATGGCATGTTCTCATCCATCCAACAAGTTTCATCCTCATCTTTTCCATGAATTTGTTGCTAACCCTCAATCACTTCTCTCCCTGTATCTTTCCTTATTTGTTGGATTATCTTTTCTCTATAAGAAGAAAGGAAGTCATGTTTCCCTCTTCCCTATGTCTCTCATCACCTTGCACAATGCCAAGTACATAGAAATGATTAACTGACAATTATCAATGATTTATCACTTTATAATTTTTTTTTTGAGACAGAGTCTCACTCTGTCACTCAGGCTGGAGTGCAATGGCTCGATCTCGGCTCCCTGCAACCTCTGCTTCCCAGGTTCAAGCCATTCTCCTGCCTCAGCCTCCCGAGTAGCTGGGACTACAGGCGTGTGCCACCACACCCAGCTAATTTTCGTATTTTTTGTACAGTGTTTCACCATACAGACAGGGGTTTGTGGTATAGACAATTTTCTCTAAATATAATCTCTCTTGGTTCTTTTAATTCCCCGGTGAAAAGTTAGCAAAGGTGGTATTATTTTCATAGTATATCTGAGTGATGGTCACAGTATATCTGAGAGATTAGCCAGGATGGTCTCGATCTCTTGACCTCGTGATCTGCCCGCCTCAGCCTCCCAAAGTGCTGGGATTACAGGTGTGAGCCACCACTCCCGGCCAATTTTTTAAATGTTGGACAAGGAATAGAAAATTAATGGGAAAGAAGTGCTTTCCAAAAGCCTGATGAAGTAGCTATTTTGCCCATTTTACAGATGAATAAACTGAGGCTTAGTGAGGTTAGGTGATTTGGCCAAGCTTACATAGCTCATAAGTTATGGTGCCAGTCTTCAAACTTGCTTCTGAATGTCTCTAAAGTCCCTGTCTTTTCTTTGTACTATGCTGCCTTCCCATACCTGTCACTTAGATGATCTCATTGAATTCTCACATTGCTGTCTCAAGAAATACTTGTTGATTGATTGATGACATTTTCAGTAGCAATATGGTCCAGTTAAATGGTTTCCTGCAGCTCAATTTGATGAAAAGCCCCTGCTGTGCTCAGAAAGGTTTAACCTGCTTCAAACTCTGGCTTTCTCACAATACCATCAGTCTCAATTCCAAGACCTGTGCAGCACATAACAAAGCTTTACATACTTGCGGAGCTTAAAATAAAATCTGAGAAGATACCATTCAAACTCAAGCCCTTGCATTGCAGCAGGGAGACATTCTGGGGAGTCCACCAGCACTCTGTTTCCAGAGGTGCGCTCTGGTAGTCACTGAGCCATATAAGGGTCAGACTACCTTAAACAAGCTGCTTTATTTCTCAATAAGTGGACCATTGACACATCAACATAGTGAGACAGCCAAGTGCAAAGGGGTTCCCAGAAAAACTCAAACCAGCCTTTGCACTGGGAGGAGTGAGCACTGGAGTGGTGCCACAGAAGTCTGCACCATTTGCAGTGAGGAGGAGCCTGGCTCCTCTTCTTCCTGGGCGGAATCTGGGATGCAATCTGCGAGGTGGGAAGCATATACTGGCAGGAGTCTTACCCTGCTGAAGGTCCCTGTTTCTCCCTCCCCCCACCCCCGCTTTTCTTTGCCCAATAAATTCCATGTTTTTCTCATTCTTCAAAGTGTCTGTAAGCCTAATATTTCATGGCTGTGTGACAAGGACCCCATCTTTAGCTGAAGTAAGGAGAAAGTCCTACAACATTAGAACTCTGGAGTCACCAGGGGCCCGGGCCATAGTGATGGCCCCAAGGCAAGCACTGGACACTCCAGGGTCAACAAACTGGGTCCCAGATGCAATTCTCCACTAATTAGCTAGTGCACTCTTTTGGGCAAAATACTCAACGTTTCTGGGCCTGTTCACTCAGATATACTATGAAAATAACACCGCCTTTGCCAATTTTTCACCAGGAAATTAAGAGAACAAAGAAAGATTATATTTATAGAAAATTATCTATAACACAAACTCCTGTCTGTATACCACATGGAGAAGAATCATTGTCACTGGAGAAAGTGGAATGCTGCTATGGATACAGCAGCAGGTAGAAAATCAGACACAAAGTCCACTCCTGGTGGAGCTAACAAATCTTTTCATGTTATAACAGCCAGGATGCTCTGAACTCACCAATCCTGTGAGTCAGAAAGATATACCCAAGTCTGTTCATTTGGAAGTAGCATATTCTAACTAGCAGAATGCTCCAGAGCAGAAACTTAAGAAGCTGGGATGCATGTGGATAGCCCATGTTCTCTTGGGTTGATTTCTGCTGCAACATCCTAGGATTCTAGGATTCCAAACATAGCACAGACCATCAGTGACTAACTCAGTCTTGGTGTCTGAAGCATCTCTTTTCCATCACTTTTTATTATTTTTAATTATGTTGTTATTTTTAACCATCCTGATTTAAGTGTATTTTAATTCTATAAGCCAACCTAAGTCCTTCTTGAGCCCTCCATCTACAAAACACGTCAATTAATAATCAACTTGCTTTGATCTTAGTAAGCCATGGGATTTCAGAACTGGAACAGAACTCAGGGATCAAAGTCAGCCTCATATGTTACAAATGGTAAGATAGAAACCCAGAGAGAAAAGGGCATGCCCATGGTCACCCAGCTAGTTGGAGCAGAGGCAGATCCAGGATGGGACCTGCAGGTTGCTGACTCACAATCCTTTGATCTCCATTGCTGGGTCTTTGTTTCTCCAGCTATAACACAGAAACAATAATACCGTGGTATTATTGATACACTGGATATCAATGCTGTATAAGAAGAAACTTCACTATAATTATCTTTTCCAAAACTTTAATAATCACTAAATAATGTTCTTACTGAAAAGTCCTGGAAAGATTCTTGGGAGCCTAAGAACACTGAGTAACTTTTACTTGTGCCATCGAACCAGTACACTTTGAACTGGGCTGTTCAGACATGAAATTTGTACACTGCATAAAGCTGTCCAGTTAAGGGGCTGGTGAAAGCCTGTTTAGACTAACTGCATACTGGCTTTGAAGCCATACATTTATAGGTGGAGACTGGTGTGGCATAGAGAATACTCAGTGATGATAACTCAGAAACTTTTGTTTTTTCTTGTTTTATTCTTTTTCAGCTTTTACTTCAGGGGGTACATGTGCTGTTTGTTGCATGGGTAAATTGCATGTCACTGGGTCTGATATACAAAAGATTTCATTACCTAGGTAGAGAGTATAGTCACCGATAGGTAGTTTTCTATCTTCACCCTCCCCCTACAGGTAGTTTTTCTATCCTCACCCTCCTCCTACCTTCCCACCTCAAGTGAACCCCAGTAACTATTGTTCTCTTATTTGTTTCCATATGTACTCAATGATAATAGCTCAGAAACTTATTCCTCTTGATTTTTTTTAAATAGACAGAAGTACTTGGACCTATGCACTGGAGGGTCCTCAGAAAACAAAATACACCTTATGGATATAGTAGTGGTAAGACAACAAAAAGAAAGCACTAGAGCTCCATGATCAAGTACATGGGCCGAGCAGTTAAATACTGAGATTTGAATTCCAGTGGGGTTACTTACTAACTCTGTGATTGTGAACATGTCACCTGACCTCTGAGCTCAGGTTCTTCATCTATACAACAGGAATAATACTAGTATCTACCTCATAGGGTATTCATGAGAACTAAATTAGTTAACAATGGAAATTGCCTAAAATAATGACCAGTGCATGGTGAATACCCACTAAATGTTAGCTCTTATTCCACTATTGCAAGCACAGACTGCTGGTTTGGTGGTGGAGTTTGTAAATCTTGGAGCAGCCTGAGTCACTAGGCATGAATCTCAGGATCTTTCTCTCCTGCAAGCTTCACACAGTTGATAATGTAGGGGTTTAAACAATGTTCCATTTTTTCAAGTTCAGTTTCTAAACTATATCATGGGAACTTTCTTCTCATCTCTGAGTATTCATGGAGAGTGGTCCAGGTAAGGGGAGTCTCAAGAACCTGTAAGGACAGCACACACACCTGTTTGGTTGTTTGCACTCTGGGAATCCTCACCTTCCAGTGAACACACCCCATGAGGAGCAGTGTGGATTCCACGGCAGCACTGCTGAGTCTCTTGGCAATAGCCAGCCTGCTTCTCAGCCATTTCTATCCCACTTTGTGTCCCTGCCTGGCCTCATCCTTACCATGTGACTCTGTACAAATTTCCAGCCCTCTGGGACCCTCAATTTATCCATCCATAAAAAAACACGCTGGTCTAAATATTTCCTACATCTCTTCAAGCTTAACTTTTTTTTCAATTATTGTACCTACTACTCTTCCCCCACTGTGAAAAACAATCCTCACCAATTCCTAGAGAAACTTATACAAACCCACTGAGAAATGTCGAGCAGTTGGTGCAAAATACCCAGGAATTACATGAACATCATTTAACATAAAAGAGACCCAAAACATACTCTCTTAGTATGGGAGATGGAATCTTTCAAATTCTCAGTAGGTTCCTTGTGGCCGGTCAAACAGTTCCACCCAGGCAAAGGATGAGCTTAGAAATATCTGAGCCAGACCTTTCCCCAGCTCTGCTCTCTCCTCACTGGTATCACTGGAGTTGCTCACAAGTTCTCAGACAGAGAGTTGAGGTTCTTTTTCTTCAAGTCTCTGCAGAGTACCAAAGACTGGGCCCAATAAATGCAAACATAGCCTATACTCGAGACCCCTGGAATGTGGCAAGACTTCAGTCACTTACCAAAACAATGCCTAGACCTGGCCAGATGTGAGGAATACCAACAGAAATGAAGGTCATCCTCAAAGCTGGGGCCAGATTTTTTTAAAGCAATCCCGGAAGATTCCCTGTTATTTTTGTAAATTATCCAGGTTAGCTTAGCTCTGCAGAGAAGTCACTGAACGAAAACCCAAAGTAAAATCTACAAGCATCAAATAGAGATCTTAGCAAGAGAAGGCACTTGATGCATGTTTCTTGAAGGAATAAATTTATTTATTTAGATATTTGGAGCTTTTCATTTTACAAAGGAACTCACTGCCAGGTTCTATTGTAGGACCTTCTGGGTATATTAATGCATGCTTATGCTCATAGCTGGTTATCCTCTGTTTGCCACAGTCCCCAGTCATCCTCTGACCTTCTTTCTGCTCTCTGCCCTGGAGCTTCCATTCCATTTTGGTCATTGAGAGGCACTAGCAGGAAAGCAAAGGACAGGAAGAGACAGAGGCTGGGGTATAGACTTTTACCCTCGCATTGCATTCCCCTCTTGGTTCTGGCTTTGGCTGCTTTCTATGTCAGCCCTAGCTCCTCTGCTGCAGCTCCAGCTCTCACCAAGGTCCAGTAACACTACTGCTCTTCTCCTCCTAAACTTCAAGGTTTAATGGTTTCCCATGGTTACAAACCCCTGGGTGCAGAGCCTCTGTTGGATTCCCTAACCCCATGCCTTCTCTGAATGTAATCTCATCATTAAATTCTCTGCTAGAATAGATCACAAGCCATTAGCTATTTGGCCAGGGGAAAGGCTGAGGAAGAGTCAGCATTAAGCATCACTAGCTGCCTTTAAGAGTTACTAGAGATACAGAAAACGAGTCTCTAGTATTTGAATAAAAGTCAGTGGAGGTCAGGCACTGTGGCTCATCATGCCTGTAGTCCCAGCACTTTGGGAGGCTGAGGAAAGAGGATCACTTGAGGCCAGGAATTCAAGACCAGTTTGGTCAACATGGTCGGACCTCATCTCTACAAAAAAAAAATATTAAAAATTAACCAGGGGTGGTGGTGTGTGTCTGTAGTCCCAGCTACTCAGGAGGTTGAGGTGGAGGATTGCTTGAGCCCAGGTGTTTGAGGCTGCAGTGAGCTATGATTCCGCCATTGAACTCCAGCCTGGATGACAGAGCAAGACACTGTCACACACACAGAAAAAAGTCAATGGAAAAACTAAGACTCAATTAACATGTTTTCTAGGATTGCAATTATTACAGAAGGCAGGTGTAATTGAAATTCGATAAAGTTCTCATTGAAAGTATGTGCCACCAACTTTCTTGGAGTAGTAAAGATGCCAAATGTTTCCTCTCTTATTCCATTATAAATTGGCAATTTCAGAGGGGTCAGAAAATTCAAGGACTCAGCCACTTGAGTCCTTCAGTATATTCCTTCCCAAAGGAAGCATAAAATATGACAGTAGCAGCTACTACAAATGAAAGTGGAAATGAACTTAATTGGGATACATCTGGTGAAGCCACTTTAACCCAACACATTGTGGCATTTTACGATGTGGCAGAGTAAAGGAGGCATGTCAAACCTTAGGACATACCAGGTGCTCAAAGCAGACATCTATTCCACTGCTAAAATCATAAAGGACTCTGTGACAAAAATAGAGAGGCTATATATTCCTTTTATCTACTCTTTAGGTCCTATGAGTTGACCACTTCCCCCTCTGCCTTTCTTCGTTGCAGAAGCCAAAAGAGGAATAGACATTTATTCTATCATTCCCTAAAACACATTCAGTTTCTAACCTCAAAGGGCTTTGCAGCAAAGGACAAGGTGAATGCTTCCTGTCCTGTCTACAATAGACCCAGGGACACTGACTATGTGTCTTAGAGCATCTCTTAAAATCTAGGATGTAGGCACCCAATAATACTGTCTTCATAGGAGAATAATTGTGTCTCCTGTATGCCAAACTACATGTACAGACACTGAGGGACATTAGTAAAGAAGACAATTAATTTTTGTTTTCAGTTATGAATAAGAATTTTTTTAAATTTACTTTTAGTTCCAGGATACAAGTGCAGAACATGTAGGTTTGTTACATAGGTATATGTGTGCCATGGTGATTGGCTGCACCTATTAACCCACCATCAGGTTTTAAGCCCCATACGCATTAGCTATTTTCCTAATGCTCTCCCTCCCCTCTCCCCCTACCCTCTGACATGCCCTGGTGTATGTCGTTCACCTCCCTGTGTCCATGTGTTCTCATCGTTCAACTCCCACTTATAAGTGAGAACATGCAGTGTTTGGTTTTCTGTTCCTTGTTAGTTTGCTGAGAATGACAGCTTCCTGCTTCATCCATGTCCCTGCAAAGGACATGATCTCTTTCCTTTTAATGGATGCATAGTATTCCATGGAGTATATGTACCATGTTTTCTTTATCCAGTCTATCACTGATGTGTATTTGGGTTGGTTCCATGTCTTTGCTATTGTAAATAGTGCTGCAATAAACATACGTGTGCATCTGTCTTTATAGCAGAATGATTTACATTCCTTTGGGTATATACCCAGTAATGGGAATGCTGGGTCAGATGGTATTTCTGGTTCTAGATCCTTGAGCAATCGCCGCACTGTCTTCCACAATGTTTGAACTAATTTATATTCCCAAGAACAGCATAAAAGCATTCCTATTTCTCCATAGCCTCACCAGCATCTATTGTTTCTTGACTTTTTAATAATCACCATTCTGCCTGGTGTGTGATGGTATCTCATTGTGGTTTTGATTTGCATTTCTCTAATGATCAGTGATGTTGAGCTTTTTTTCATATGTTTGTTGGATGCATAAATGTCTTCTTTTGAGAAGTGTCTGTTCATATCCTTTGCCTACGTTTTGATGGGGTTTTTTTTTTCTTGTAAATTTGTTTAAGTTCCTTGCAGACTCTGGATATTAGATCTTTGTTGGATGGGTAGATTACAAAAATTGTCTCCCATTATGTAGGTTGCCTGTTTACTCCAATGATAGTTTCTTTTTCTGTGCAGAAGCTCGTTAGTTTAATTAGATCCTATTTGTCAATTCTGGCTTTTGCTGCAATTGTTTTTGGCATTTTTGTCAGGAAGTCTTTGCCCATGCCTATGTCCTGAATGGTATTGCCTAGGTTTTCTTCCAGGGTTTTTATGGTTTGGGGTTTTGCATTTAAGTCTTTAATCCATCTTGAGTTAATTTTTGTATAAGGTATAGAGAAGGAGTCCAGTTTCAGTTTTGTGCATATGGCTAGCCAGTTTTCCCAGCATCATTTATTAAATAGGGAGTCCTTTCCCCATTGCTTATTTTTGTCCAGTTCATCGAAGATCAGATGGTTGTAGAAGTGTGGTGTTATTTCTGAGGTCTCCATTCTGTTCCATTGGTCTATATGTCTGTTTTGTTACCAGTACCATGCCGTTTTGGTTACTATAGCCTTGCAGTATAGTTTGAAGTCAGGTAGCGTGATGCCTGCAGCTTTGCTCTTTTTGCTTTTTGCTTAGGATCATCTTGGCTGTACAGGCTCTTTTTAGGTTCCATATGAAACTTAAAGTAGTTTTTTTTTAACTCTGTGAAGAATGTCAATGGTAATTTGATGAGAATAGCATTGAATCTGTAAATTACTTTGGGCAGTATGACCATTTTCACAATATTGATTGTGAAATTTCACAAAATTGATTTATCCTATCCATGAGGACAGAATATTTTTCCATTTGTGTTCTCTGTTATTTCCTTCAGCAGTGGTTTGTAGTTCTTTTTGAAGAGGTCCTTCACATCTCCTATTAGCTACATTCCTAGGTATTTTATTCGCTTTGTAGCAATTGTGAATGAGAGATCATTCATGATTTGGCTCTCTGCTTGTCTATTGTTGGTGTATAGCAATGCTTGTGATTTTGGCAAACTGATGTTGTATCCTGAGACTTTGCTGAAGTTGCTTATCAGCTTACGGAGTTTTTGAGCCAAGACAATGGGGTTGTCTAAATACAGAAACACGTTATTTGCAGACAGAGACAGTTTGACTTCCTATTTGAATATCCTTTATTTCTTTCTCTTGCCTGATTGCCCTGGCCAGAATTTCCAATACTATGTTGAATAGGAGTAGTGAGAGAGGGCATCCTTGTCTTGTGCCAGTTTTCAAAGAGAATGCTTCCAGTTTTTGCCCATTCAGTATGATATTGGCTGTTTGTCATAAATAGCTCTTTTTTTTTTTTTTTTTTTTTTTTTTGAGATGGAGTCTCACTCTGTTGCCCAGGCTGGAGTGCAGTGGCACGATCTTGGCTCACTGCAAGCTCCACCTCCTGGATTCATGCCATTCTCCTGCCTCAGCCTCCCGAGTGGCTGGGACTACAGGCGCCTGCTATCACGGCCGGCTAATTTTTTTTTTTTTTTTTTGTATTTTTAGTAGAGATGGGGTTTCACCATGTTAGCCAGCATGGTCTTGATCTCCTGACCTCGTGATCCACCCAACTCAGCCTCCCAAAGTGCCAGGATTACAGGTGTGAGCCACCGCGCTGGGCCATAAATAGCTCTTATTATTTTGAGGCATGTTCAATCAATACCTAGTTCATTGACAGTTTTTAACATGAAGGGATGTTGAACTTTATCACAGGCCTTTTCTGCATCTGTTGAGATGATCATGTAGTTTTTGTCATTGATTTTGTTTATGTGATGGATTACATTTATTGGTTTGCATATGTTGAACAGGGCTTGCATCCCAGGGATGAAGCCAACTTGATCGGGGTGTGTAAGTTTTTGAATGTGCTGCTGGATTCGGTTTGCCAGTATTTTATTGAGGATTTTCACATCGACATTCATCAGGGATATTGGCTTGAAGTTTTTTGTTATTGTTGTATCTCTGCCAGGTTTTGGTATCAGGATGATGTTGGCCTCATAAAATGAGTTAGAGAGGAGTCCTTCCTTTTCAATTGTTTGGAATAATTTCTGAATTCTACCAGCTCCTCTTTGTATCTCTGGTAGAATTCAGCTGTGAATCCGTCTGGTACTGGGCTTTTTTTGGTTGGCAGGCTATTAATTACTGCCTCAATTTCAGAACTTGTTATTGGTCTATTCAGGGATTTGACTTCTTCCTGGTTTAGTCTTTGGAGGGTTTATACATCCAGGAATTTATCCATTTCTTCTAGATTTTCTAGTTTATTCGCACAGTGTGTTTATAGTATTCTCTGATGGTAGTTTGTATTTCTGTGGGGTCAGTGGTGATATCCCCTTTATCATTTTTTTATTGGGTCTATTTGATTCTTCTCTCTTTTCTTCTTTATTAGTCTAGTGAGTGGTCTATTTATTTTGTTAAGTTTTTTAAAAACCAGCTCCTGGATTCCTTGCTTTTTTGAAGGGTTTTTCATATCTCTATCTCCTTCAGTTCTGCTCTGATCTTAGTTATCTTTTGTGTTCTGTTAAGCTTTTGGATTTATTTGCTCTTGCTTCTCTAGCTCTTTTAATTGTGATGTTAGGGTGTCGATTTGGGATCTTTCCAGCTTCCTGATGTGGGCATTTAATACTGTAAGTTTCCCTCTTAACACTGCTTTAGCTGTGTCCTGGAAATTCTGGTACATTGAATAAGACATTTAAATTAAAAGTTAAATTTAATTTCCAATGGTGAGAGCTTCTCTGAAGAAAAGAGGACAGAGAAGGTGGCTAGAGAGTGTGGGCGAATGGTGAGATTTCAGAAAAGCTGGGCAGGAGAGATGTGACTGAGAAGAAGCTTGATGTCTTCAGAGTCTGACGCCCTGCTCCACGAGGCAAGCCACCAACACACCTTCCCACCCCGCCCACCCACCTATACCCTCATGGTATGCTTCAGCCATGCCCAGCTGCCTCCACATTTCTATACTTTTATTCAGACAGAACCTTCTCTTTATTTTTTCCAGAGTTATTAAGATATAATTGACAAATAAAAATTGTATATGTTCAAAGTGTACAACACGATTTGGTATATGTATATGTTATGTAATGACCACCACAAGCAAACTATTAGCAATTAACACATCCTTCCCCACACATAATTATAACATGTGTGTGCATATGTGTGGGTGAGGGCACTTAAGATCTACTCTCAGCAAATTTCAAGTAAACAATGCAGTATTATTAATTATAATCATCATGTTGTACATTTGATCCCCAGAACTTATTCATTTTATAACTAAAACTTTGTACCCTTTGACCAATATGCCCCTTTTTTTTCCAGCCCCGAGACCTGGAAAACCACCATTCTACTCTCTGCTTCTATGAGTCTATTAACAGATGAATGGATATAGAAAATACGGTGTACATATGCAATGGAATATTATTCAGGCATAAAAAAAGAAGGAAACCCTGCCATTTGCAGCAAGATGGATGAACCTGCAGGACATTGTGCTAAGTGAAATAAGCCAAACACTGAAGCTTCTCTAGATTGATGTTCCTCCCACTGTGTTTCCCTGACCTGACTCCTCACCTTCCATCCTCAGATGAAGCACCACTTCACATAAGCTTTGCCTGATTCGTCGTTTCTGCCTACACCACATATTTCCCTCAGGCTTTATTGAACACTATGCACATATGCATTTATTAAATCACTTTTAACACTTTTCTCACATTCCTCATGTTGCATTAAAATTATTGCTTTGATTGTTTTTTAATTCGACTGCAAGCTCCACTCCTTGTACCTGGCTTCTCTCACTGAACTTGACCCACAATAGAGCAAAACAAAACAAACAACCTCATGAAACCTATGAGAGTTTAGATAGTGCTCAGGCTGGTTGTACAAATGAGGAAACAAATACTCAGAGAGGTGGACTCACTTCCATAAGGTTACACAGCAAGTAAGATGGTCGAAGCTTGCATTAAAAACTGGGTTTTCTGGAGCCAAATCCTATACGTCCAGCTAATTAAGGTAAAAGAAGGGAATCTGGGCCTGCAATACCACAGCACTGGCAGCCTCTGCACAGGTGTCACTTTGAGCCTCTGCAGATCTCTGCATGAGCCCCTTCCCCTCTGGCCAGAAACGGAAGCTTATCTGTGGTATTCAAAGGGCCAAGAAACTGGACAGAGTTTTATCATAGGAATGGAGAATGTTGTCTGCTTCTGTCAAATTTCAAAATTTTGCAGTTTTGTCTCATTTTTAAAATATCTTTTATTCTAAAAATATACTTCCCACCTCCACGATAATTTTCTTTTGTCATTGAAATGGTCAAAGAAAACCCTGGAAAGCTCAAAAGTGGCAATTCAAGGTGAGCAGTAAGAGTGGCTCCTGAGTCTCTGATCCCTAGGAATTCTCTAAACCCATGGAGGCAAAGCACCCAGTTAAAAAGCACAATGTTCATTTTTAAAGCCATTCTTCTGCCACTGCAGGGAAGGTAGCCCTCAGATGAACACTGTCCTGGAAAACTAGGTGCTTGTGCCGATTTCAGATGAGAATCTCAGGCCCCACCATGTTCCATCATTACCCATCTGCATAAGGGGGCAAGGTCCTTCTCTTCTGTTTCATTCCTTTACCACCCTTGGACCCAGTTTCCTGCAAAGTCATCCCTGACCATTGCTATCTCCATTGATCCATCCTCTCTATTGCCAGGGACTGAATAGGTACGTGCACAGTTGTTTTCACTTATCTATTTTCCAGACTGACCTATCCACCTGCAGGCAGACTCATGCCTTGCGCCTCATGCCTATGCACTCCCACAATGTTTCACATGCTGCTTGCTTCGCTGTAGTTGCTTAATAAATGCAGATCAGTGGGTCGATCTTCTGGTCTGCACCTACAAAGGTATGAGTCCTCCCCACTCAATACAAATTGCTATGACCCCAAAAATACCAATGGTCCAGAAGCAAAGTGTTCCATATGTTAATTGTATTCAAGGAGGCATCTTCCCAAGAGTCCTGTCTTGGTCAGGAGGGATAAAGGGCACATTATTTGGAAAACAAGTCCCCAGTGCATCCCATGTGTATGTGTGTCATAGCACTACACAGGTCACAGCCTTCATTTCTGGCTATTCTTTCATCCAGAGCACCTGCTTCAAAATGGATTGGGCTGAGCTGGGCCATGTGGCAACTGGCTCCTCATTTCTTCCCCAAAGATGTATGGTAGAAGACAAGAAAGAATGGGCTTTCCTAAGTACAACTTTGTTCAAATCAGAAATTGTTTTATAATTTGGAAGTCACTTTTCAGAAGCTTGACTTGTCTTTCAGATAGTATCTGTCCAAAAAAGAAAAAAGTAACTGAATAATGAATGAGTCAGCCACTCTATGAGAGCTTGTCCAAAATACATGCATAAAAATTCTTTCAAGAAATGAACTATTGTAAGGTGGACTTTACAGTTTGCCCTCCTGACTCTTCCTAGGTAACATGCCCAAGATCATCATAGATATGTCAGGAAAGAAGGGGGAAAGAGTTAGTTTGCACACCTGTGTCATCCAAAGTAGGTTGGTGTCTGCATTCTCTTCTCTTAGGTGGATTAACAAAGGATCATGACACAAAGTAAAGAAGCCCAGGCCTCCATAAAAAGAAGAAAATATTGAGAAATACAGCTAATCGGGGAGGTAAAAGATATCTACAATAAGAATTACAAAACACTGATCAAAGAAACCAGAGATGACACAAATAAATGGAAAAACATTCCATGCTCATGAATAGAGAGAATCAATATTGTTAAAACAGCCATATTGCCCAAAGCAATTAACAGATTCAATGGTATTCTTACCAAACTACCAATGACATTCTTCACAGAACCAGAAAAAAGTTGTTTTGAAATTCATAAGGAACCCAAAAAGAGCCCAAATAGCCAAGGTAATCCTATACAAAAAGAACAAAGCTGGAGGTATCACATTACCTGATTTCAAACTAAACTACAGGGCTACAGTAACCGAAAGAGCGTGGTAACAGTACAAAAACAAATACACAGACTGATGGAACTGAATAGAGGTTTTGGAAATAAGGCTGCACACCTACAACCACATGATCTTCAACAAAGCTGACAAAAACAAGCAATGGGGAAACGAATCTCTATTCAATAAATGGTATTTGGATAACTGGCTAGCCATAGGCAGAAGATTGAAACTAGACCCCTTCTTTACACCATATACAAACATCAACTCAAGATGGATTAAAGACTTAAATGTAAAACCAAAAACTATAAAAACCCTGGAAGACAATCTAGGCAATACCATTCTGGACCTAGAAATTGGCAAAGATTTCATGACAAAGATGCCAAAAGTAATTGCAACAAAAGCCAAAATTGACAAATGGGATCTAATTAAACTAAAGAGCTTCTGCACGGAAAAAGAAACTATCAACAGAGTAAACAGACAACCTACAGAATGGGAGAAAATATTTGCCAACTATGCATCTGACAAAGGTCCAATAGCCAGATTCTAAAAGGAACTTAAACAAATTTACAAGAAAAAAAAATCAAACAACCCCACCCATTAAAAAGTGGGCAAAGGACATGAAATAAACAGGCACTTTTCGAAAGAATACATACATAAGGCCAAAAAGCATATGAAAAAAAAGCTCAATATCACTGATCATTAGAAAAATGTAAATCAAAACCATGAGATATGATCTTACACCAGTCAGAATGGCTGTTATTAAAAAGTCAAAAAATAACAGATGCTAACAAGGTTGTAGAGAAAAGCCTAAACTTATACACTGTTGGTTAGAGTGTAAATTAGTTCCACCACTACGGAAAGGAGTGTGGCAATTCCCCAAAGAGCTAAAGACAGAACTACCATTCAACCCAGCAATCCCATTACTGGGTAGATGCCCAAAGGAATATAAATCATTTTATTATAAAGACACGTACACATGAATGTTTATTGCAGCACTATTCACAACAGCAAAAACATGGAATCAACATAAATGCCCATCAACAGTAGGTTGGATAAAGGAAATGGGGTACATATACACCATGGAATACTATGCAGCCATTAAAAGCATGAGATCATCTCTTTTCCAGGAACTTGAATGGAGCTGGAGGCCATTACGCTTAGCAAACTAACTCAGGAACAGAAAACCAAATACCACATGTTCTTACTGGAAGCTAAATGATGAGAACAATTGGACCCAAAGAAGAGGGGAACAACAAACACTGGGACCTACTTGAGGGTACAGGGTGGGAGAAGTAGCAGAAAAAAAAGACTATTGGGTACTAGGCTTAGTCCCTGAGTGATGAAATAATCTGTACAACAAACCCTTGTGCATGAGTTTACCTATATAACAAACCTGCACATGCATCCCTGAACCTAAAATAAAAGTTTTTAAAAGAAAGAAGCCCACGCGTCCAGATATTAAGCTAGCCTTGCTTTTCCCATTGTCTTTAAACAGTAGATTCAGAACCAGGTCTCCCAGGGCAAGGACACATCACCCCGGCTCAACCATACTTTTCAGGGATTTCCTGCCCAGCCAGTACTGCCTGGTGAGGCTCACTCTGAGGAGCTAATTGGCCTACTGGTACCCCTGTAAAAACAATTATAATAATGAGACACATTTATGGGCACCTAGGGTGTAAAGGCAAAATCTGCCTACAGGATGACAAAAAACCTCCAGACTTTCTCATCATGGCGCCTAGTGGTGGATACTCCTAGACTGCCCACTGATGACATCCGAGCATGTGTATGAACATAAATGCTTAGGAGACAAATTGTAATTGCCCAAGAAGCCACAACTCTTCCAGATTAAATGCCTTACCTCCACTTCCTCAAGAAGTCCTTTCCTCAAACTGTGGCCTCAGCTAAGCCAGAGGGTAAGCTGCTTAAAACACACACACACACACACACACACACACACACACACGGAGAGAAAGAGCCACTAGAGCAAACACACACCTACTATAGGCAAATTCTAACTGTCTCCATCCAGAATATGTGTGATTTATGAGTCTGTAGTGAAAAGAGAAGGTGGTGATTCCTAACGGTATTAATTAGGTCCGATCAGTAAAAAAATGGACACCAAGCCTTCAGAGGATCCCACAAAGGAATCAACTGGCTAATGACAGCTTTTGCTTCTTCTGGAAAACCATACCCAAGAAGCAGGGGCATCATTTGCAGTTTTTTTCTACCCTCTGTGCTGGGATTCTGGTCAATGGGACCACCTGCTAATGAGGGGCTTCCATGTGTCACATGCAATTTTTATGAAATGCCACATTGGGAGTGGCTTGCATCCTTGGATTAGGCCCAGGCTGGGGAATGGTATGGCAGATACTCTTATATACCCTTAGCCTTGTCTCAATAGGGTATGGGCATGGTTGCTGTTTTTTGGAAGATGATAAAAATGAATCATCAGTCACAGAGGAATGATTGCAAAGTAATTCATGCTGGTAAGGTCTGAACCAGGAATCTTTTCTCTATATTTACTGCATAACATATAATTTAGTTTGGAACAATAACAAAAAATTGTGTGTGTCTCTGCGTGTACACATATATGAAAGAGTATCATATCATCATCTACTGTAGCCCTCTACAGCCTGTCCCATGCAAAGTCAATGGGCATTACTAAGTCAACGTGTATTTCATTGCCATAAGTCACCCTCCGGCTTCTGTCTCCTGAGTGCCCTGCCATAGACTATAGAACTGCATTGAATAGGAACACATGGCATACCAACTTCTCACTTGTCTTCTATTCCCTTCTCTGGTGCCAAAAACTACCTGCTTTCTTTTGCAAATTCTTAATATCTATATCTATTAGTTCTTCCCACCTACCTCAATTCAGTGTGGCCATTAGACCATCACCCTCTTGTTCCCTATCTTCCTGGAAAAATCAGGCCTTCAGTGTCTCCTCTACCAAAAAGAAAGGCCAAATAAACATGTTTTTAAAATGTTTCTTTATTATGCATTTTATGGAAGGTCTTGGCAAGAAACTGGTTATGGCTGAGTAATGTCATTTTCTCAACCCAAGACAACTGCAAAAACTGTGAGGGCTTGAGAAAAAAATCATGCCTGAGGGCATGTCTACAACCTTGGGAAACATTTGGAAAAGTAGACACTAGAGGCCTGCTTCTTGAACACTACTCCACTCCTCCTCAGTATAAATAGGTTTGATTCACAAAAGATATCCAGGATGGGAGAGCCAAATACTGACCATCATCATATCCTGATGATAAGTATGCTAGTTCTGGCACTGTAAGAATGCCGTTTCCTTTTCTCAGGAAGAACCAAGGCAGAGTTAGCCCCTGGGGTCAAACTTAATCACCCTCTCTGACAGAAGTTGCCAGTGGATCTGGATTTTGCTAGGTATTTCTCTAGTATGCTTTCAAGGTTTGCTTCACAAAAACTTTGAAAACCATACTGCCGAAGTCAACGTGTAAAATATGTTGAATTATCCCTTTGGGAGAGGTGATTGGAGAAACCAAATAATCACATCCTCCTTATAACCTTGATGAGGTTTAGCTATGATTTATCTATGGTGGCCCATGTTATGTGTCATCCACTGGCGAAGAAGAAACTCCTTTTCTTTTGTGTGGCAGTGATTGATGTCTAATTGGGAATCAGAGTTTTAGCTAAGTCTCAATGTTCCTAGACTCCCACCAATGGAGCTAATCCACCCCAAATCCATAGACAACCCAACTTCAGAATGAAGTAGAACCAGACTTTATCTTGCCAAAAGAATTGTATGATAAGTTCTGTTGCCAATGGCGCAATCTGCAATATTATAGTAAAATAAAAATCAGTGCCTCTTGGTCCTAGACAAAACCACAATACTTTTATGGATCCAAATTCTGAAAGCTGTGATAGCAAACATCTTGTTTGTATTGATTTTGGCAACTTCCAAAGAAGTTGTATATATCTCCCATCATCCACTAAATCTCCCACCCTTGCCACCTCATCAGTGACTCCAAATTTACAAAGGAAATCTGCATAAGAAAAATCCCCACTCCTCATAAAACTAAGCTCTCCACATACAGAAATGTTATATGAAAAAGCACTTTCAAATGAAAGTTCTAAAAAACATTTAAACAAGGATTATCTCATTGTTTGGGCACCGAATAGGGAATCAATGTATATCACAGTGAATAATTTTCAAGGCCCATGCTCTATACACAACAGTGGAAGAGATTGCATTCTAATGTAAGCACCTGGGGGGACCAGCATTTAATTAACTGTGTCAGCCCAGAAACTAGTGAAGTTTCTGGAACGTGAGAAACAATGAATATTTGTTGAAAGTCTGAATGGCAGACTTAGTCACATTAGAGGCCACATAAGAAATCCTGTGCCAACTTTTTTTTTTTTTTTGAGACTGCCATTGAGACGGTGTCTTGTTCTGTTGCCCAGGCTGGAGTGAAATGGCATGATCTCAGCTCACTGCAACCTCTGCCTCCCAGGGTCAAGAGATTCTCCTGCCTCAGCCTCCCAAGTAGCTGGAACTATAGACACGCGCCACCATGCCAGCTAATTTTTTGTATTTTTAGTAGACACAGGGTTTCACCATGTTGGCCAAGCTGATCTCGGACTTCTGACCTCAGGTGATCTGCCTGCCTCAGCCTCCCAAAGTGCTGGAATTACAGGCATGAGCCACTGCACCCAGCCACCTGTGCCAACTTTTTAACAGAATTAACTTGCATACCAGACCTTCTCTCTCTCTCTCTCTCTCTCTCTCTCTGTGTGTGTTCATAAACACACACAGAGAGAGAGAGAGAGAGAGAGAGAGAGAGAGTCAACATTTCCAGTCTATCACATACAAAGAAAAAGAAATAAAAGATGTGGTATTATAATACATCTGAATTTGATTTAGAAATATCAGTAAATATTCAAGATGCTCATTCTGGTAGTCAATCATTCTATTACACATCTGTGATATGTAAAAGCAAAAGTATACAGTGCTATGAAGTATCTTTTGATTATAACTGAAAACTTAAAAATTTGAAAACTAGGAATTGAAAGCCTACATTCAATCCTTTGTTTCTGTTCTACCTACTTTGTTATTGTTCAGCAAATTAGAACGACACTCAGGTCTTTCCATAGAGAAAGCATAAGGAAAGGCAAGATGATTTCAAGAGAAATCCCAGTCACCAACAGACACCACACTCTCCCAAAGCCCTACTTGCTCATATTTATTTCCCAAACTGATTAGCAGATACTGGCTTGTTGAAGACTAGATGCAAGGATCATTTTCATATATATGGCTCATTGGCTTTATGAGTTCTTAGTGCCCATAAAGGTCTGGGATTCCTTTGCAAACAGCAAACACATATTTTGTCTTTGTAGGGTACCAAAAATTCATATCAAAGGTCACGGTGAAATATTCCTGATCTGTGCCTACCAGTAACTTGTCATGAGTCACTGGCACCCACCACTTCATTGACAAGAAAATGATCAGGCATTAATAAAAGCAGTTTCTCTGTTAAAGAGAGACGCATGTGGTTTGAACCTGGCTGATCTTGGAAATCACTGTTGGCTAATGAATTGCCTTAATGACCAAAAATACCAGTCAATACCCACTAAAGATTTAGCAAGTGTATTTTCAAGGATAGAAATCACTGTTTATTTTATACATTCAAATTTTCTTATTTACATTAAAAAATAATAATGTTCATGCCCAATAATAATAATGTTCATGTCCTCCTGGAAGCAAGCTGGCAAGATAGGCTAAAGAAAAGCTAGACATTGTGATTAAGTAGTAAGTGGCCTCTTAACTGTGTTAAGAGAACAGCAGTTGATCCCCAGGATAGGGGTATCTGCAAAAACATTCTGTAAGAAACATTCTGTAAGAAAAGGACTAAGCTTCAAATGTCCACCAGGCCCTGAGGGTAACAATATTTGATCATGCCAAGCTTCACCAAGTAGCACCTTTTTCTCTCCTTAACTCTTTCCCATGCCCTCCTTTTTACCCCTAGAGGAGCCAAAGCACATGGGAGAGGGGGTTTGGTGGGAGGGAAGAGTTGCGCAAAATAGGAAAGAAAGAAGACCATCGAGGCCCACCGCCCCCAACTGTAGGCTTCCCTGCCTGAAGTATTATTGAGTTGGGGAAGGGGAGAAACTTCAATATAAAATGAAATTCAAGATTTGGGTATTATAGAGGACTAAACAAATTAATTACTAAAATGAGATTATTTTGTGATTAAAAATGAACAGAGGGTTTTCCTTATCTGACTGTGACCAGAAAATATGAGACCTGTCCAATGCTTTATCCAGAAACAAGACAAAATAGCCCACTGAATGGCCTTGAAGAGATAGTGGGGAAAATAATTTTTTTAAATTCTTGTTCCATATAGAGTTCCACTCTTTTAACACATTGACTATAGCAAGGCATGTATTCAAACCAGGTCTACCTACCCAGAGGTAGACCTGGATGCTGTGAACCACTATGCTCTGGACATTTATGCACATACGCCACATCCAAAGTGGGGTTCTTTGTGCTTTACTGATATTTATTTCATCCTCATCACAACCCTAGGAGTCAGGAATAATTATCTTCCCACTTTATACATGATGAAACTGAGGCACAGAAAGCTCTGTCCAAGGTCAGCCAACAAGTAAATAGCAGGTCCAATATTGAAATCCAGACAGTTTGGCTCCCAGGTCTGTGCTCTCAAGCACTTGCCAGCTGCCTGGTCAGGTGGCATAGTTTAAAGAATGGAGTTAGGGCTCTGGAGCCCAGCCGCCCAGGACTAGCTCCCACCCCACAAGTTCTCATAACTTATACTCTCAGTATCCTCATCTGTAAAATAGAGACGAACTATAGTAATTATGTTTTAAGGGGGATTATAAATATTAAATTAGGTAATTCATGTAAAAGCCTATCTTAGTGTAGTTACTGACACATAGTTGGTATAAACTATATTAACTATTACTATTAGCTACCATCAAACAGAGACTTTTAGGAACATGCTCTTAATTTGCCCTGATGTTCTGTTTTGGACTTAAGTGTTAGTCAGGGTCCTAGCAGAAAAAGGTAACACAATCAAAGCATTATTGAATAGGTCATTTGGGGAGGGATACACTCCAAAATGGTAGTTTATTGGGGGTAGCAACAGCCAGGGCCATTATTACCTCTGGCCCTAAAAGGCCAAGAGAAAGGGGTTTCTAGAATCCAGGTAGAACTGTAGACATGAGAGAGGTACCACATCATTTCTCCTAAATTTCTTTTCTGTGTCCTTCCTCCCTAGAGTCTATTCTCAACATATTATCCAGAAGCTGCTATCATATGTAGAGAAACATAGCCACTACCAGAAGCTGAGAGATGGGGGTCAGGGGAGGAGCTGGAATGAAAGCCCTAAGATCTCTCCCTTCTTACCCTCCATTTCCTGGTGGTGCCAGCACTTGGCAAAACCCAGCTGAAAGATGAAAAGTGTCCCAGTGGAGCAGTCAATAAGAGTCAGCCTTCTGAGCAATAGAGCAAAGAGAGAAGATTAGAAAATAGTTCTATCTGGAGACACACGTGGAGAATAAGCAGCACAACCTGTTACCCACATTCTTCTAAAGCCTCTCAGAGGTTCTGACCTGACGCAATGGAGCACTATAATTCATGGTGGTGATCAGGCATTCAGCAAGTCCATAGATAGTGTTGCACTGAAGACAATTTGTTTCCCCTGCTGTGACTGAAGGAGTTCTATGTTTATTATTGAACTACTACCAAATGGACAGCTAGCAATCTCTCAACAGCCAATCCACAATATGATGCCATGGTGACTGCTCAGTGTTGACATCCACTGCTGGAAGATCGAGTACTCAGCAGTGGCAGCAGCCAAACCAGCCCTGGTAGAAGGAAGTCGTGTTTGTAAGTCCATGCACAATCACCACGACAGCCATCATGCTCATGCTGCTTATGAGTCCCCTGTGCCAGAACTGCAGAGCCCAAGAGAAGGCTGGCCAACAACGACGAACTGGGTCATTTGTCTACTCAATTACTAAGATTCCCTCTACAGAGGGCATATTGGGAGGTAAATTGTCATGGGATTGAAATATCCCCATACTCTAGAACCATGCTGATTCATACAACCATATATTTCCCTTCCAAATTTCCTTATCACAAATCCCACCACCTAATCAGAAATAACAAAAGCCAGAAGACAATTGAATAATAAATTCAAAATGTTTAAAGGAAGGGAAAAAACTGTCTAGTGAAAATGTCATTCAAAAATGAAAGTGAAATAAAAATGCTTTTTGGCAAATAAAATCTGAGAGAAACAAGAAAAAGAGCACATTAAACATTAAGAAAGTAGAAGGGAGAAAAATTAGTAGAAGAATAGAAATCAATTTACAGATTTAACAGGCAAAGATTTTAGAAATCAACAAAGCCAAAAATTAATAAATCTCTAGCAAGAATGATCAAGATTAAAACAGAGAGAATATAAACTTACCAATATCAGAAATGAAAGGGAAAACATTACAAAGATTCTACAAATTTCAAAAAGATAGAAAGGGGATATTCCAAACAACTTTGTTCCAAAAAATTTTTACAAAGTAGGGAAAATTGACATATTCATTTAAAAGTACAACTTTTCAAAATAGTGCAGAAAGAAATAAAAAATTAAAAGTCTTAGCTGTGTTTGAAAACATTCTTAATTATAAGGATTTTCAGGCCCAGATGGCTTCTCTAGTGAAATCTACCAAACATGTAAGGAAAAAAATAACGATGATCTTAAACATAGTATTTTAGAGGATAAAAGAGGGGGAAGTATACCTAACTCATTTTGTGATGCCAGCAGTACTTTAAATAAAAATATCTGATAAGATCTTCACCAAAAAAATACAGATCAATAGTTTTCATGAACTTATACTGAAAATCTTAAATAAAGCATTATTTAAAAGAATTTTGCAAAACACAATAAAGATAAGAATAATCAAGTGTGGTTTATCCCGAAATGCAAGGTTAGATTAACATTTATAAATCTATCAAGGTTATTTACCACCTCACAGCGTAATGGTGGAAAAAAATATGTTATCTCTATAGATAAGAGAAAAATATTTAATGAAATTCAATATTGGTTCATGTTAGAAAAAAATGGCAATCTTGGAATAGAAGAGATAATCTTCAAAAATTCCAGCAACCAACATAACACTTAATGATGAAACAGTCAATATTTTCCTTCAAAAGTCTGGAAGAAGGCAAGGATGTCCACTCTCACAACTTCTATTCAACATTATACTAGAGATTCTAGATAGTGCTAAAAGTCAAGAAAAGAAATACAGAAACATCAAAAAGAAATAATTAAAATCTTCTTATTTTCAAACAAATAGAGTGGTGGTATATGAAAGAAATCTAGAAAAATCTACTAGAACTAATTAGTAGATTTAATTAAGTCACAAATATAAGGTCAATGTACCAAAATCAATTGCATGTCTATATCCAGCAGCAAACAACTGGAAAATTTAAAACTTCAAAGCTATACCATTTATAATGGCATCAGAAAAACCAAAACATCTACCAACTACCCCATAAACCTACTGCCTAGCCACTGTTGGTTGCATTTTATAGCATGGCCTCTAGGATGCATGAATCTGGGATTCTTGGGCTGGGTTAACCCACAAGTCCATTATGGAGAACAGAACCTGGAATGAAAGGAAGAGCCATCAGCACAAAGTTGTCCCAACTTTGCTCTTCAGAGCCCTTCCTATTATGGAAAAAGATACATTATGTACATGGGACCCTCCTAAGCTAAGAGCCAGTCCTTCCTCAGAGGTTGGCCTTATCACAGTCACATTCCCTTCTTTCAAACGGGGAGGTAAAGCATAGATCTATCTGTAAGTGACCAACAACTCAAAGTCCTGTGTGCTGAGAGTCCCCAAAGCCTTACAATGATGTGTGAGTTCAGATGATGGAGACAGGAGCCTTGAAGAATATGCTTCCCTATAAGGGTGGAGCTTGTCATCAATCTGCCAAGAAAGGTAGGTTGTCCTGAAAATTTATTCTCTTGACATCCTCACCTAATTCTCCTTGAATTTCAACAACGCCTGAAGTTGTTTTGGTTGAACTCAACTATTTATATGCCTTTTCTATAAGAGCCACTGTTGTATGAAAGTGGGGAGGGGAGTATCTTAGGGGAGTCAAGTCCCCTTGTTCCAGTTTTAGCTTTGGCACTAGCATGCCATATTACTCGGTGGACAAGTTTCTTTCTCTCTTTTTCTGTCCTTCAGTTTCCTATATGTAAAATTAGAGCTATGAATGAGATGACCTCCAAGACCACCATTGCTCTAATTCATTATGCCGTGTACAGATCTCGGAAGGATTTAAATGTCAATAAGTTACATAGAATGAATTAATCCTTTATATAGTATTTTGTAATCTTTGCAAAATATTTTTGCGTTCACTACATTGTGAGTTTATATCTCCACCTATAATTCTAAGGCATTGGTATTATTATCCTTATTAAACAAATGAGAAAACACACTCAAATAAGTTAATAAATTATCCCAAGACCTACAAATAGTAGGAGATTAGACCAAGAGGTAGACATCTTCATTCCCAGCCTGGTCCTTTTTCATGTCCCCACAAATTCATCCTGGTATGTGCAGTTAATAATGGCACAGACAGCTCCTGGGAGCCACTCAGGGTCCCTTTCCCACTCATGTCAGGTGACATTACACTGGTCTTTCTCAAAGTCCCAGTGGCTGGCCTGATTAAGTGGGCTTGTCCCAGAGGGTCTCGTGAACCTCAAATAACCTTCTAAGTTTCTCTCAGTAACTGTGACCATTTGGAGAGAAAACAAATCTATACACAGAGGAATTTTAAAATAAGGTGTTATTTTAACTTTGTATAAGATGCATAAAAAGTTTAGCTTTCACTTGAATTTTTTAATAAGTTTGGCAAAATCAAAATTATTGGCACAAGCTCTCCAGGTGGATGCCCCAGGGCCCTCGGTTTAACTTCAGCACACCCCAAAAACATCAGACTAACCCCCTTTCCCACCCTTTCCCCATCTCCCACAGTTCCCAGGTTCTTCCTCCTTCACTGCTGTATCTCACTAGTAACCCATGAAGTTGCAGATGTTCTTTGGGCAGCATAAAGGTAGTAGCAAGAACTCTGCTCCAACACTTACAATATCTTATTGACTTATTCTTTGTCTTGTTCAGTAAAAGAAGATAATTATTGCTGTTTTGTTAAAGGTGAAATCAGAATCAAGAGCATATTCAGTCATTACAAGAGCACAGAGTATCTTTATGACACAAAATCTCAACACACACACATACACACACACAAAAATGGCCACAAATATAAGTGACTGATAGTATTCAGAATGTCAGTAATCCCAACTTTCCAAGGCACAGAAATTAATTTACTAGAGGAAGATTCTTTTGAGAAAGATAGGACTTGGCCGGGCATGGTGGCTCATGCCTGTAATCTCAGCACTTTGGGAGGCCGAGGCAAGCAGATCACCTGAGGTCAGGAGTTTGAGACCAGCCTGATAAACATGGAGAAACCCCCATCTCTACTAAAAATACAAAATTAGCTGGGTGTGGTGGTGCATGCCTGTAATCCCAGCTACTTGGGAGGCTGAGGCAGGAGAATCGCTTGAACCAGGAGGCAGAGGTTGTGGTGAGTCAAGATTGCACCACTGCACTCCAGCCTGGGCAACAAGAGCGAAACTCCATCTCAAAAAAAAATTAAAAAAAAAAAAAAAGATTAAGAGAGAGGACTTAAAATATCAAATGCCTAGTGGTATCAGACATCCTTCTGGGTGCCTACGCTACAAAATTTAGGCCTCACAAAAAAAAACTGTCAACATAAGCATTATTACTCCTATTTTATACAATAGAGAAATTGAGTTCAAGAGCATTAAGTAACATTGTCCAGGAGCACACAATTTATGAGAGATGGACCGAGGGCTGCAAGAGGACAATCTGGGTCCAAAGTCCATGATCTTTTCTCTTTTTCATGCAGAGTCTGCAGTGACAGGCAGCTGTCTCAAACATCTGTGTATTTGCTGTGATTTGTGTCCTCAAGTCCTCACTTAAATTGCCTAGCATAAAATAAGGGAACAGCTACAGACAGCAATAAAAACATCTTCATAGAAGCAACTATAATATTAACACATGACACAGAAAAAATATAGCTAGCATTTGCAACATTGTATTTGCTATTTTTTCACATATATCATATTTATTAACATTGTCATTATCATGACACCATGAAGCAGTGATATCCCCACTTTGCAAATAAGAAATGAAGAAGTTGGCCGGGCGCGGTGGCTCATGCCTGTAATCCCAGCACTTTGGGAGGCCGAGGTGGGTGGATCACGAGGTCAGGAGATCAAGACCATTCTGGCTAACACGGTGAAACCCCGTCTCTACTAAAAATACAAAAAAAAAAAAAAAAAATTAGCCAGGTGAGGTGGCGGGCGCCTGTAGTTCCAGCTACTTGGGAGGCTGGGGCAGGAGAATGGCATGAACCCGGGAGGCGGAGCTTGCAGTGAGCCGAGATCACGCCACTGCACTCCAGCCTGGGCAACAGAGTGAGACTCCGTCTCAAAAAAAAAAAAAAAAAGGAAAAAATAAATGAAAAGGTTGTCATTGTGCTCTACTGCATTGGGTGTGTTGGGATCTTTGGTAGTTTCTGAAGGTTTCACTATTTTACAGCATAGAATCATCAAGGCTGATCAAGAATGGTTAATTTGCATTCAATATCTGCTGATAAATAAGAGTAAGGTTTAAAGATTTCTACCAAAACTATAAAAATTTTTGATTCTCAGAGAAAAAATCATCAATATATAAAGAAACCCACTATGCTAAAAAGCTCACCCCTTAACAATGTGCATATCCTTATATTTCTTTTCTCATATACACAAATTCAACCCTGATTTTTGTTAATTAAACTGTTACATGGATAGCGCCACCTATTCCATTCAATGTAAAATAACTCGCTATAACCACACAAGAGAGGGAAGACTTATACAGAAGCAATATAAGATTATGTTTCCTAAACTGTTATTAAGAGAAACTCATTTAAGGACTCCAAAAATGCTATTGTCATAATCAGATCCACTGGCTCCCTGCTCAGAATTCAGTTCCACTTTGCTTAGTCTTGGTATCCTGACTTCTGGGGAGAAACAGGTCAGCTAGCTACCTAGAAACAATTGGCTTCCCAAATGCAGGTTTTGTGGGAGCTGTGGTCACCACCCCAAGTAACCCTTGGATGGCCTGCAAATGGTGCTGATAAAGTCTGATAGTTTACCACTAATCAGTTCCCGAACATTGCCACTTCAGTAGGAGGGAGCATCCCTGGCAATGGAGTAGTCTCCTGCGGGGCTGGGGCCATGACCTGCTCAATGTCAGGCTTTTCAGCTGAGTGGACAATCTGGCTTAACAGTGGGATGCTGGAGGCAGGAACGCTGGGACCCTGGAGCACTCCTGGTCCTGTTGGTAACTTCATTTCCCAAACGTTCATAATTAAGCAGCTTTTATTGAAGTAATCAGCATGAGCTCCTTAGCTTTGTTTTTGCAACCGGTATCGTGTTTATGGAGCCAAATATTGGAGACTTTGATACTGAATACCTCCTCGGATGTGTTAACGTTGGCATGGTCTCTAGATTCTGAAGATGCTGGGCTGCCTTAGCACAGCCTCCCCTCCAGCCCTTAGCATATCAGCCCCCGACTCCCACCCCCAAACCACAAAGCAGCAGTTCTCCTGTAAGACTCACTTACAATATTTCTCCTGAAAGTCCCAGGGAATGATGTGCAATTGAAACAGGGTGAAATATGAGCTCAAAGTGTCTGTCGGACCAGAAGTTTTCAAAGAAAACATTTCTTAAATCTTGTGTTCACTGCTGTTTCAGCAGGCCAATTAGATTGGATGGGACTTGGGGGAAGCTGTCGCCAGTCACTGCAGCAGGAATAGCAAACAAGACTTAAAGCAAATAAACGAGCCCAAAACTGGCATCCCAGAGGCCCCTGGCCAATGACCTCCTTCATTCCCCAGGCAGGATGGCCAGCCCACCCTCTGGGACTAAGGGCCAAACTACAGGTTAATCAGATGAGACATTAGTTAGCAGCCTCGATTACTAGAAAGTAATTAATCAGGGAAAGTCTCCAAACAGAAGGAGAACAAATAAACAGGCAGGCATATGTAAGCCCATTTTGGCTCTAGATAACACTGTTATCCAGGTGTCCTGCTGGGGCAGAGACCATCTATCTTTCTCACTTCCTCTTAGGAAATATGGCAACATTTCTCACATTTTTTCCAAAAAAAATGAAAACCCAAGAAGGCTCTGAATGAGAAAGAGATAGGAGACTATGGAAAAATTATTTCAGGAAAAGCTCTGAAGGGGGGATTTGTGATGAGCCTTGCGTTATCCTTTATGTCTGTATTGATTGCATGTAAGTCCTGCCTTATTTTGACATTTCAAAAAAGTTTGGTGTGGGTTTCCAAACTCCTACCCATTTGGAGACAACCAAGGACTCAGGTGGTGTTCTTAGCGTTCAAGGAGTCCATTGGTTTCTTAGCCCTTCAAAACTCTAGCCAGCTTAAAAGACTGCTGGGAAAGATTTTTTTAAAAATCAGATCTTCTGATATTACTGGTTTCTTCTTCAACTTTGATTAGGACTGAGGATAATTGGAAAGAATGGGAACACAATGTAGTTAATCCAAGTAGAAAGTGTCAGCCATTGGTCCAGTTTGACCTGACCTATCACATCAAATAGAATCATTTGTCCGTGTTGCATCTTTTTTCTTCTGGAGGAACAAAAAAAAAATGTCAGCAACTTGAGAATGTGTGTAATGTAAACACGGCTGTGTTAGCTCAGCGTCAGGAAAAGCACACCCAAACGTAAGTCAGCACAGGACATCCTCCGCTCCCAAGACAAGCGCAATGGTTTTAACCTAATGACCTGCTCTTAAACAGCTCTACAGAAAATCACAATTAAATAAATACCACTTAATAGTAGAGATTTGTTTCGCTGCCAGAGTATTTGTGGGAAGAGAAAGAGGAGGTTGGATGAATCACTTAATCTTTAATTATAAAATTAAGGTAGTTTCCAAATATTGTTATGAATTCAACCTCAAGCTAACTTTTAAAAATACCACAAAAATGGGTTAGAGACATTCTGGAACAAAACAAAAAGGCAGAGAATAGAAGCTATGGAGAGACAGTATACCAAGAGTTGAAGTTGCACTGTTTTATTGGCTTAAACTAAAGTTAAGCCTAGTGGCTTTCCTTCAGCCCAGTTGTTAGGAATGTCAGACCAGAGCTATATAAAAATCACAACACATACACCAGTGAACCAATGAAAAATGCAGCCCCATGTGTTGCTGTGGAATAGTACAGGACAGGGGGTCAGGAGTGCTGAAGTCAAGGCCTGGCTCTGCTGCCTTCTGGAGCACCAGGAAGGAATTAACTGGAATGGAAGAGGGAGAGCTGTTATATCTTATAAGTGACACAGAGTAATCAGAAAAGCACTTCCAGAATCCAGTGACTTGGTCAGCCTTTTCCAAAAAGGGCACACAGGCAAAAGTGATATGCTTTTTTGCTTAAGAGCTTATCCTTCCTCTCTTCCTACCCTCTCTGGAAAGCCTCACTCTCCATGTTTTTTCCCATCTTATTTTTTAATTAAGATGTTTTCAAATAATGTCTCTCATTGTTTCAAGTAGATGCCAATACTTGTATCTTTGAGCAGGTGACCTGGTGAAGGCTTTGTGATCTCCAAGAAAATCCAATCGTACGTTTTTGTCACCCCCACAGGCCTTTTCACCTGCAAGAAACCGATGATTGTGCCCACAGGAAAACTGGGGCTTAATGGACAACTGAGTCCTGCAAAACCTTTTCCTCTTAGTGCCACAAGAAATCCCTAAAAATCTAGCCTTTCCAGAAACAGCTACAAGTCCTTCTTCTCTAATTGCACACCATTGTTGAGATCCAGAAAGACCCTCACTCTGCCGGTTGGCCACACTCTTCCACACAGGCAAAGGAAAGCCCATGAGATAGTAAGCACCACTCCGGAGCACTGCCTCCCCCTAAATCAACTTCTCAAAACTTACCAGTTAGGCATTCACTGATTATGTCATGAGAAATCAAAGTCTTTATAAGAGCAGTTGCCATGTTTTCTTCATGATGGCATCTCCACTCCAAGTACATGGAAGGCATGAACATAATACATGTCATTCACTTCACATTTACCAAGCAGCTCCCTGAGCCCAACCCTTTGTTGTCTCTGAACATCCATGAAAAGAAGACGCAGCCCCTCTGTTAAAGAAGCTTAGAATCTAATAAGGGACACAAATATAAATGGATCATTTTAATTCTGAATGACATGTTATGCTGGATATAGCAGAAGGATTAATAAGTCTATCCCTTAACCCATGTCAGATGTAGTTGAAAGGTGGGTATCTCTTTTCTTTAATCCATGCTAATGGTCTCCATGTCATGTTGATCTCTAGAAAATCACTCACCAAAGCAAGACATAGCAAATAGTTCTTTCTGAGGGCTTTAACAGCAGTTCAAACTCCAGATTGGGGATGATAGCTCTAAGTCACTCTGATGGTCAGACTGTGCTTGAAGATCCCACACATGCAGAAGGACCATGAGAAATGAGAACATACTCAGGGAAGGACGAACAAGATGGTGAGTTACACTCAAAGCCATGTCTAAGACAGAAGAGAGCCAAGATATTCTAGCTGGGCAAAAGACTCAGAAGATCTCTGAGTAATCTGTATGTGCCTCAAGGGGAAAAGCTATGTAGTGCTTATGTGGTGCAGCCTCATATGATTGTGCAAGTGATGGTTTCTGTGAATGGGGCTCCCTGGAGTTGTGTAGTATACAACTGTAAAATCACACTGTAGCCCCATGCTCATCTCTACATGAAGAGCAGCGTTTTGATGAATGTTTGATGAATGAAACTCTTTGCTCTCTTCAAATAAGTGAAAAGCTACTTGCAAAAGATAGAGCAGATCTTTCATTGCTTTAGTTGTTTCCCAAGATGGCAAAAGTAATGCCAGTGGGTACAAAAGCCAGAGAGAGATAAAAGCTTTTCAAGTTCAGAAGAATTTTCTATGATGCAACACAGCCGAATAATGAAAGAGGATGACTAGAGGACAGCTGTGAGCTCCTCTCACCAACCCTCAACCTTAGTAGAGAGGAGATGAGTGGTTTTCGGGATTGGTGGAGAATATTCCATTTTTAGAAAAGGAAGTGGAGGTTGGGCTAAAGTCCAAGGCTGCATGTAGTTCCTAATAAAGAGCAAATTGTTGTAAAATGGCACTACTTGGAGCTTCCAATGCCTGGCAGGAGGTAACCATGAGCCTAAGTGGCACCTGAAAGAGTTAAATTTACATTCAGCTCCAAAACAATTTTAAGTTATTTCTTGTCAAATCAAATGCTTCCAAATGACTTCTCAAGTCAGAAAATGCCAAGCATTACCACGTGGGCTTGCTCAGCAGGCAGAGGGGCCCGCAATGCTGTTTGACGGCATTCTGCACACAGTGGAAGAAGGACCATGTCGCATTCCTCCTAATCTGATGAATCCTTGCCATAAATTCAGCCCAGGCAACCAGTGGGGTGGCTGCTGGCTCACAGAGAAGGGGAGGGGGCCACTTTACAAGAGCCAGAGGAGACAGCAGGCAGCCAAGCCCTCCACAAGAAGCTAGTAAATCAGCAGTCAGTGGAAGCTATATGTGGAAAAGACAGGTCCACCTACACAGTCTTCCAGGGGGCCCAGAGCACAGGTGAACATAGGCAAGAGAGGAAGAGAGTGTGCTCTGGGTCAACTAGTAGCTGTGGGATCCTGGGACCCACATAGTGAGGGTGTGATACAGCACAATTTGACGAACTCTTCCTGGATGATTTCTGCATACTGGGTGTCAGACCAGCAAGCACCATGCTGGATGTTGAAAATACAGACCCATTGACAGAGAAGATATCTGCCAATTAGCAGCTCACATTCCAGAAGAGAGATCCATTTAAGGAAAAAGATTGCATTAGTCTGCTATGACAAAATACCATAGACTGGGTGGCTTAAAAAACAGCCATTTATTTCCTCACAGTTCTTGAGGCTAGGAAGTATCAGATCCAGGTCCTGCAGGGTCAGGTTCTAGTGAGGATTCACTTCCTGATTTGGAGATGACCACTAATGCTCACAAGGGGAAGAGACCATGAGCTCTCTCAGGTCTCATCTTATAAGGACACAAATTCTATTGAATCAGGGTCTCAGCTTTCCAACCTTAATTACCTCCATAAAGGCCCTAACTCCAAATACAGATATGCCAAAGGCTGAGGCTTCAATATATGAATTTTTCAGGGAATAAAAACATCCAGTCCATAGCAGGGCTCTATAAAACACATTCTAATAAGAGGTACTAGATGCTATCATACAATTCAGCGAAGCCTTGTAGAGTCACGCATCTGACCAAGTGGCTTGGGAGTACAGGAGAATAATCAGGAAAAATGTCATAGAAGAGGCACCTGACTGAATAAGCAAGTCACTCAGTGAAAAAACAGAAGAGGGAACCCACATAGGACGGTGGTTGAGAGTACATGCCTGGAGTTGAGCTGCCTGGGTTGAAACCCTCCTCTGATCCTACTAGTTCTGTGATCCTAGATAAGCACTAGAACCTCTCTATGAGCCTCAGTTTTCTTGGCTATAAAATGGAAATAATAGAGCCTGTTTGACAGAGTTGTTGTAGGCTTAGCCAACAGCACTAGCTAATATTACATAGCATCCCAGGCAGAGCATGGCTGATGGCCTGTAAATCTCATGAGTCCTGTTTGGGAAAGGGCAAGTACTTCAATGTGGCTTGGCTTAGGGAACATTAAGGAGGGTACAAGGACATGGGTGAGCTTAGATTGGAAATTTATTTAATGTTATGCCAATGAGCTTGACCTTTATCCTCAGAGCGCTTGGGAGCCTTTGGGGGAAGAGTCCTCCAAAGTCACATAAGGAGAAATAGATTTTAGGAGATGGCTCTGGAGTCTGAGTGAGGTGGGAGCTGAAGAGGAAATGGGGTAGGAACAAGGCTTAGTGCCCTAGATGGCATCCAGGAAACCTGCCCCAACGCCAACTCCGCCTGGCAGCCAAATCCCTTTCCACTTCAATAAGCACTGGCTGAACCATGACATGTGCAGCCCTGTGTCAAGGCTGTCACTGAAACCCTAGTCCCAACCCTAATCTACTCAAGGGTTCAGAATCCTCCACAGTCTTTGCAACACATCTTTCAGTCTTTCCCCAACACTGCTCAGCAGGCAGGCTGGGGCCAGCCAAGCAGACAGGAGGGCCTTGCTGGATGGAGTAGGCTTCACACATCTTTTTCTCTTTGTTCCCTTGCTATCATTGTGGATCTTCTTGCCTTTCTCTGAATCATTCTTTCCCCATTTATTAGTACTGTGTGACCTATGGCAAGTCATTTAACCTTTCTGAGCATCCATTCCTTCATATGCCTAATATTAATATTTAATTCATAGGCATATTGTAAGGAATATTATAAACATTTAGCAAAGAATCTGGTACATGCACTCACATTTTCCTGCAAGAAACCTAAAGCCCTCTGCCAGTATCTTTTAGTCCATGAACCTATTACTAACATTTAAGGCCACCTCTGCCCCCTCACTGTCCCCTCACTCCGCCCTCAGAAGCTAACCTATGTTACAGTCCTCTGGGGACTTTGTTTCTCCATCCCCAAACCACTCCCTGATAGAGAGGTCTCACAAGGAACACACACATACACACACACCCACACACACACACACACACATACACATGCATATATATTTTAGACGGAGTCTCGGGGTTCAAGCGATTCTCCTGCCTCAGCCTCCTGAGTAGCTGGGATTACAGGCACCGGCCACTAGTTTTTGTATTTATACTAATTTTTGTATTTATACTAGAGACAGGGTTTCACCATGTTTGCCAGGCTGGTCTCGAACTTCTGACCTCAGGTGATCCACCTGCTTCATTCAGCCTCCCAAAGTGCTGGGATTACAGGTGTGAGTCACTGCCCCTGGCCACATATTTCTTGTCTATATGTCCTCTTAGCACCTAGAATGTGAGATTGTGTGTAGATCTGAACTGGGCAAATGTCTGTGCTAATCAGGCTATGAGAGGTAAACATCACAACACCAAGATCCATCCACCCAATGGACCATGTCCACATCCCCTTATAAGTATTTTTTTTCCTGACAATAGGCTGTAATGATTGGGCCAGAAGATAGCACACATTCACTGAAAACCTGCTAATAAAATGACTAGTCGCATATGGCATGGTCCCACCCAAAAACATGAGCTAAGACACTTAGGGGATTCTGTTAAGAATGTTGTTCAGATACAAAATGAATATCAGGCAGGGGGCAACAAGAAGTAAAACTGAAAGAAGTTTGAAAACCCTGGAGTCAAGAGAGCCATTGAGTAAAAATAGAGTTGAAGCTATGGGGGCCCACAGCAAGCAAAACTTACGAAGAACCAAAAAGTATTAGTCATAATAAAAATTCCATTATTAAAGACCTACTATGCACCACCAACTGAGCTAGGCACTGTACAAAGATTTTTTTTTTAACAAAAAAACCGATGAGTGGGTACTATTATTAGTCCCATTTATAGAAGACATTGAGTCACAGAATGGTTAAATACTATGAGCTCTCCATTGCCTTTATTGCCTCCTCGATTTCTTACAATAAACCCTCATGCTATCCCCTATGCCCACGCTCACATTAGAGTAGCATGGGTGAATCTGCTCCTTGTAACCAAAGCAGAAAGCACTGTGGAACAAGGACTGCACACAAGACATGGAAAAACTGCAAAAGGGCGAGGACATGAAGATGCACCCCTTTACCCATGGCCTAGGCCAGCCCTAGTGTTCCAAATGGCTTCCTGGACCCCCAGCTTGTAGAAACTACCAATTCTCCTGGGCCCTGAATGTTTGTGCCACGCACAGCCATATGCTGTCTAATACCCTTAATCTTTTACATATCATTCCTTTTCTTCCTAGCCAGCCTGCGAGCTTATGACTTGACAGAGATTATGCCTTCTCATGTTGTTTCTTCTTTCACAAATGAGAGTGCCCTAAACATTTATAGAAATCATCCCCCTGGCTCTGTTCAAAGTGCCAAGGGTCCCACCCATGTACACAGAATCCTGCAGGGCCTTGCAAAGGCATCAGACCCCTTGGGTGTAATCTGAGAACCACTAGCAGAGTAAATAAATCCCTGCCCTGGTGGCAAATACTTCCCTTTACCTCTTCCCTTATAAAAGCAAACTTTTCCTGTCCCATCTCACAAGTGCTCTCTAATGGATTCTTTGTTTTGTTTATTCCACTTAGTTAAAGCCAAAAGCAAAAAAAAAAAAAAAAGAGAGAGAGAGAAAGAGAGAAAGTGCATGAGAAACCACCTAGCACAGTGCATGGCATAGAGTCATGAACTCTGTGTTTCCTCCAATGTTACCTTATTTGAAAAGTGCAGGGGAGGAGCCAAGATGGCCGAATAGGAACAGCTCCGGTCTACAGCTCCCAGCGTCAGCAACGCAGAAGACGGGTGATTTCTGCATTTCCATCTGAGGTACCGGGTTCATCTCACTAGGGAGTGCCAGACAGTGGGCGCAGGTCAGTGGGTGCGCGCACCGTGCGCGAGCCGAAGCAGGGCGAGGCATTGCCTCACTTGGGAAGCGCAAGGGGTCAGGAAGTTCCCTTTCCGAGTCAAAGAAAGGGGTGACGGACGCACCTGGAAAATCCGGTCACTCCCACCCGAATACTGCGCTTTTCCGACGGGCTTAAAAAACGGTGCACCACGAGATTATAACCCGCACCTGGCTCGGAGGGTCCTACGCCCACGGAGTCTCGATGATTGCTAGCACAGCAGTCTGAGATCAAACTGCAAGGCGGCAGCAAGGCTGGGGGAGGGGCACCCGCCATTGCTCAGGCTTGCTTAGGTAAACAAAGCAGCCAGGAAGCTCGAACTGGGTGGAGCCCACCACAGCTCAAGGAGGCCTGCCTGCCTCTGTAGGCTCCACCTCTGGGGGCAGGGCACAGACAAACAAAAAGACAGCAGTAACCTCTGCAGACTTAAATGTCCCTGTCTGACAGCTTTGAAGAGAGCAGTGGTTCTCCCAGCACACAGCTGGAGATCTGAGAACGGGCAGACTGCCTCCTCAAGTGGATCCCTGACCCCTGACCCCCGAGCAGCCTAACTGGGAGGCACCCCCCAGCAGGGGCACACTGACACCTCACACGGCAGGGTATTCCAACAGACCTGCAGCTGAGGGTCCTGACTGTTAGAAGGAAAACTAACAAACAGAAAGAACATCCACACCAAAAACCCATCTGTACATCACCATCATCAAAGACCAAAAGTAGATAAAACCACAAAGATGGGGAAAAAACAGAACAGAAAAACTGGAAACTCTAAAATGCAGAGCGCCTCTCCTCCTCCAAAGGAACGCAGTTCCTCACCAGCAACGGAACAAAGCTGGATGGAGAATGACTTTGATGAGCTGAGAGAAGAAGGCTTCAGACGATCAAATACTCTGAGCTACGGGAGGACATTCAGACCAAATGCAAATAAGTTGAAAACTTTGAAAAAAATTTAGAAGAATGTATAACTAGAATAACCAATACAGAGAAGTGCTTAAAGGAGCTGATGGAGCTGAAAACCAAGGCTCGAGAACTACATGAAGAATGCAGAAGCCTCAGGAGCCGATGCGATCAACTGGAAGAAAGGGTATCAGCAATGGAAGATGAAATGAATGAAATGAAGCGAGAAGGGAAGTTTAGAGACAAAAGAATAAAAAGAAATGAGCAAAGCCTCCAAGAAATATGGGACTATGTGAAAAGACCAAATCTACGTCTGATTGGTGTACCTGAAAGTGACGGGGAGAATGGAACCAAGTTGGAAAACACTCTGCAGGATATTATCCAGGAGAACTTCCCCAATCTAGCAAGGCAGGCCAACGTTCAGATTCAGGAAATACAGAGAACGCCACAAAGATACTCCTCGAGAAGAGCAACTCCAAGACACATAATTGTCAGATTCACCAAAGTAGAAATGAAGGAAAAAATGTTAAGGGCAGCCAGAGAGAAAGGTCGGGTTACCCTCAAAGGGAAGCCCATCAGACTAACAGCGGATCTCTCGGCAGAAATCCTACAAGCCAGAAGAGAGTGGGGGCCAATATTCAACATTCTTAAAGAAAAGAATTTTCAACCCAGAATTTCATATCCAGCCAAACTAAGCTTCATAAGTGAAGGAGAAATAAAATCCTTTACAGACAAGCAAATGCTGACAGATTTTGTCACCACCAGGCCTGCCATAAAAGAGCTCCTGAAGGAAGCGCTAAACATGGAAAGGAACAACCGGTACCAGCCGCTGCAAAATCATGCCAAAATGTAAAGACCATCGAGACTAGGAAGAAACTGCATCAACTAACAAGCAAAATAACCAGCTAACATCATAATGACAGGATCAAATTCACACATAACAATATTAACTTTAAATGTAAATGGACTAAATGCTCCAATTAAAAGACACAGACTGGCAAATTGGATAAAGAGTCATGACCTATCAGTGTGCTGTATTCAGGAAACCCATCTCACGTGCAGAGACACACATAGGCTCAAAATAAAAGGATGGAGGAAGATCTACCAAGCAAATGGAAAACAAAAAAAGGCAGGGGTTGCAATCCTAGTCTCTGATAAAATAGACTTTAAACCAACAAAGATCAAAAGAGACAAAGAAGGCCATTACATAATGGGAAAGGGATCAATTCAACAACAAGAGCTAACTATCCTAAATATATATGCACCCAATACAGGAGCACCCAGATTCATAAAGCAAGTCCTGAGTGACCTACATAGAGACTTAGACTCCCACAAATTAATAATGGGAGACTTTAACACCGCACTGTCAACATTAGACAGATCAATGAGACAGAAAGTCAACAAGGATACCCAGGAATTGAACTCAGCTCTGCACCAAGCGGACCTAATAGACATCTACAGAACTCTCCACCCCAAATCAACAGAATATACATTTTTTTCAGCACCACACCACACCTATTCCAAAATTGACCACATAGTTGGAAATAAAGCACTCCTCAGCAAATGTAAAAGAACAGAGATTATAACAAACTATCTCTCAGACCACAGTGCAATGAAACTAGAACTCAGGATTAAGAATCTCACTCAAAACCGCTCAACTACATGGAAACTGAACAACCTGCTCCTGAATGACTACTGGGTACATAACGAAATGAAGGCATGAATAAAGATGTTCTTTGAAACCAACGAGAACAAAGACACAACATACCAGAATCTCTGGGATGCATTCAAAGCAGTGTGTAGAGAGAAATTTATAGCACTAAATGCCCACAAGAGAAAGCAGGAATGATCCAAAAGTGACACCCTAACATCACAATTAAAAGAACTAGAAAAGCAAGAGCAAACACATTCAAAAGCTAGCAGAAGGCAAGAAATAACTAAAATCAGACCAGAACTGAAGGAAATAGAGACACAAAAAACCCTTCAAAAAATTAATGAATCCAGGAGCTGGTTTTTTGAAAGGATCAACAAAATTGATAGACCGCTAGCAAGACTAATAAAGAAAAAAAAGAGAGAAGAATCAAATAGACACAATAAAAAATGATAAAGGGGATATCACCACCGATCCCACAGAAATACAAACTACCATCAGAGAATACTACAAACACCTCTACACAAATAAACTAGAAAATCTAGCAGAAATGGATAAATTCCTCGACACATACACCCTCCCAAGACTAAACCAGGAAGAAGTTGAATCTCTGAATAGACCAATAACAGGGTCTGAAATTGTGGCAACAATCAATAGTTTACCAACCAAAAAGAGTCCAGGACCAGATGGATTCACAGCCGAATTCTACCAGAGGTATAAGGAGGAACTGGTACCATTCCTTCTGAAACTATTCAAATCAATAGAAAAATAGGGAATCCTCCCTAACTCATTTTATGAGGCCAGCATCATTCTGATACCAAAGCCGGGCAGAGACACAAGCAAAAAAGAGAATTTTAGACCAATATCCTTGATGAACATCGATGCAAAAATCCTCAATAAAATACTGGCAAAACAAATCCAGCAGCACATCAAAAAGCTTATCCACCATGATCAAGTGGGCTTCATCCCTGGGATGCAAGGCTGGTTCAATATACGCAAATCAATAAATGTAATCCAGCATATAAACAGAGCCAAAGACAAAAACCACATGATTATCTCAATAGATGCAGAAAAAGCCTTTGACAAAATTCAACAACCCTTCATGCTAAAAACTCTCAATAAATTAGGTATTGATGGGACGTATTTCAAAGTAATAAGAGCTATCTATGACAAACCCACAGCCAATATCATACTGAATGGGCAAAAACTGGAAGCATTCCCTTTGAAAACTGGCACAAGACAGGGATGCCCTCTCTCACCACTCCTATTCAACATAGTGTTGGAAGTTCTGGCCAGGGCAATTAGGCAGGAGAAGGAAATAAAGGGTATTCAATTAGGAAAAGAGGAAGTCAAATTGTCCCTGTTTGCGGATGATATGATTGTATATCTAGAAAACCCCATTGTCTCAGCCCAAAATCTCCTTAAGCTGATAAGCAACTTTAGCAAAGTCTCAGGATACAAAATCAAGGTACAAAAATCAAAAGCATTCTTATACACCAACAACAGACAAACAGAGAGCCAAATCATGAGTGAACTCCCATTCACAATTGCTTCAAAGAGAATAAAATACCTAGGAATCCAACTTACAAGGGATGTGAAGGACCTCTTCAAGGAGAACTACAAACCACTGCTCAAGGAAATAAAAGAGGATACAAACAAACGGAAGAACATTCCATGCTCATGGGTAGGAAGAATCAATATCGTGAAAATGGCCATACTGCCCAAGGTAATTTACAGATTCAATGCCATCCCCATCAAGCTACCAATGCCTTTCTTCACAGAATTGGAAAAAACTACTTTAAAGTTCATATGGAACCAAAAAAGAGCCTGCATCACCAAGTCAATCCTAAGCCAAAAGAACAAAGCTGGAGGCATCACACTACCTGACTTCAAACTATACTACAAGGCTACAGTAACCAAAACAGCATGGTACTGGTACCAAAACAGAGATATAGATCAATGGAACAGAACAGAGCCCTCAGAAATAACGCCGCATATCTACAACTATCTGATCTTTGACAAACCTGAGAAAAACAAGCAATGGGGAAAGGATTCCCTATTTAATAAATGGTGCTGGGAAAACTGGCTAGCCATATGTAGAAAGCTGAAACTGGATCCCTTCCTTACACCTTATACAAAAATCAATTCAAGATGGAGTAAAGACTTAAACGTTAGACCTAAAACCATAAAAACCCTAGAAGAAAACCTAGGCATTACCATTCAGGACATAGGCATGGGCAAGGACCTCATGTCTAAAACACCAAAAGCAGTGGCAACAAAATACAAAATTGACAAATGGGATCTAATTAAACTAAAGAGCTTCTGCACAGCAAAAGACACTACCATCAGAGTGAACAGGCAACCTACAAAATGGGAGAAAATTTTCGCAACCTACTCATCTGACAAAGGGCTAATATCCAGAATCTACAATGAACTCAAACAGATTTACAAGAAAAAAACAACCCCATCAAAAAGTGGGCAAAGGACATGAACAGACACTTCTAAAAGAAGACATTTATGCAGCCAAAAAACAATGAAAATATGCTCATCATCACTGGCCATCAGAGAAATGCAAATCAAAACCACAATGAGATCCCATCTCACACCAGTTAGAATGGCAATCATTAAAAAGTCAGGAAACAACAGGTGCTGGAGAGGATGTGGAGAAATAGGAACACTTTTACACTGTTGGTGGGACTGTAAACTAGTTCAACCATTGTGGAAGTCAGTGTGGCTATTCCTCAGAGATCTAGAACTAGAAATACCATTTGACCCAGCCATCCCATTACTGGGTATATACCCAAAGGACTATAAATCATGCTGCTATAAAGACACATGCACCCGTATGTTTATTGCGGCATTATTCACAATAGCAAAGACTTGGAACCAACCCAAATGCCCAACAATGATAGACTGGATTAAGAAAATGTGGCACATATACACCATGGAATACTATGCAGCCATAAAAAATGATGAGTTCATGTCCTTTGTAGGGACATGGATGAAATTGGAAATCATCATTCTCAGTAAACTATCGCAAGAACAAAAATCCGAACACCGCATATTCTCACTCATAGGTGGGAATTGAACAATGAGATCACATGGACACAGGAAGGGGAATATCACACTCTGGGGACTGTGGTGGGGTGGGGGGAGGGGGGAGGGATAGCATTGGGAGATATACCTAATGCTAGATGATGAGTTAGTGGGTGCAGCGCACCAACATGGCACATGTATACATATGTAACTAACCTGCACAATGTGCACATGTACCCTAAAACTTAAAGTATAATAAAAAACAAAACAAAACAAAAAAGATAAGTGCAATGTTTAGTGTTTTAAATGGCCCCAAAAATAATTGGGCAGCGGGTGCCATTGCCAAGAAGCTTGCTTCTCAGCATGTGTGCAGACTTGCCGCATGTAAGCAAGAACAATATAAACTTCAGGCACTTATCTCTGGGGCCCCCAGATGGTCCCCTTAGAGAGTTATCAAGGGAGAGTTAGACTAGTGCACACCACCCAAGTAGGGGTCTAGCTCAGGATTCATTTGCAGGTTCAGCCTCAGAAGAAATTGCTTCTACTGGGCTGGGCTGATGAAGTAAGCCTTGACTTCAGAAAATAGCAGATGCTGGTATTTGTCAAGCTGAAAGCCTCATGCAAAATCCAAAGTAGTAAGAAAGGAATCCAAAACATTTCCAAAATTAAAAAATTAGCCAGGCATGGTGGTGTGTGCCTGTAGTCACAGCTACTGGGGTGGCTGAGGCAAGAGGATCAATTGAGCCCAGGAGGTCGAGGCTACAGTGAACCTTGATTGCTGTATTCACTGCACTCCAGCCTGGACAACAGAGAACCCTGCTTCAAAAAACAAATAAGCAAACAAACAACAACAACAACAATTTCCAAATCCAAGAAATCAAAGTCAAGCTATGAAGACTGGAGCATGAACAGCAGGTAGGGTCAACAGAAGTGGGAATAGCAAAGGTGAAGTGGGAACAAGGACTTTCAGAGTGATTGTCTATGCAGTGTTCTGCAAACATTTTTAAGTTCAAAAGTAGATGAACTCTTTTTACAAATAAAAGCATATATGAAACCCTAACACCTAGATTTTTAAAATCCATTTTTATTAATAAATTAGGTATATTTACCAATTATAAAGACAATTGATAAGAATGATTAACTTTATTAACATAAAAATGTGTAATCAAAGATGACAGCCACAGCTTTATGTCACCCTCAGCATCCCACTTATTTTAGTATTTTGTTTGGATTCTATAGTTTCAAAGGCTTTGTAAAAATCCTGGTCACATAAACAAGGTTTTGTAAATGATAATGGTTCTTTTCAACTAATTGCTTTGCAATGAGAATAACTTAGACAGCAATGGTAGGAAAGGCTTTATTTTGAAATCTACAAAAAAATGAACAAATATATTGAAGAACAAATCAAATTTACACAACCACTAAAAGAGAGATGCCTTTGGTTTAAAAATCCCCAACTAAGAACATCTGATATTTGCCACTTGAGTCACAGACTGGCATAGGCTGGAAGCACTGGCCAGTTGGCCTGTCATAAGTTTCTTTCTATACAGAGAAGACAACAGCCAAAGAGGCCCCTGGTGGGGAACTGGTGAACAACCCAACAGTTAAGAAGAAAGAAAATCCCCAACCCATACCATCAAGTAGCTTAAGAGTAATAGAAAGAAGCAAAACAATTTAGAGTCTGATGAGCTCAAGACAAAACCTCAGATGTGTCATTTACTAGCTGTGTGACCTTGGGCAAGTTATTTAATATGTCTGAGCCTTAGCGTTCTCATCTCTAAAATAAAGATGCTAATTTTCTTTCACTAGATTGTTTCATATATTAAATGGGATGCAGTGTGGGTAGGCCTGACCATTTAGGCATTCTGCAAGTAGGACCACGGATGGAACAGCACTGACCAGAGGGAGGGGGACACAGAAGCCCAGTGATTATCTCTGGGGAGCCTGATCCAGATTTGGAAGCGTCTCCAAGAATAGGTCTTCATCACATGGGGAGGTAGAGGGAGGAAACAGCAGGATTTACTTGTTTTTACCTGCCTCCGTGGGGATTGATACAGGGGACAAAATAGAGTTCAAATAAAGAATCAGAGGAGGTGGAGGTGAAGGTCACAAAGACCAGGAAGAGCTATCAACACACCCTGGAAGCCCGAGGAGGACCTTTGTACCCTAGTGATCACTCTGGGGATTCCTCTGAGTGCAGATTGCTGCAGAAATACCCTACAGTACCTTCCTCCCAAAAGTACGCATTGAGGTCTTCCAGAGAAGGGGAGACGGTAGTACCCATGCCACACTCTACAGCAGACCCAGCAGAAAGGAGTGCACACCAAGGTGCTGCTGCTTGGCGGTGTCAACCCCAACCCTGTGCCTTGACACACACATTACCTTCCAGGGCGTTCCAAGATGGCCGAATAGGAACAGCTCCAGTCTGCAGCTCCCAGCCTGCTCAACACAGAAGATGGGTGATTTCTGCATTTCCAACTGACACACACATTACACTGTAAGAGCACCACTTCACTAATGGAAGTTCTGGACACCTCTTCCCTGTTCTAGATCAAAGTCCTGTGTTCTCTTATCACTTCCAAAATCAAAATAGCTGACTGACCCCATTCACTTGTCTGAGTCCTAGAGAACTTACCTCCTAAATCCAACCCCACTGGGATCTCTTCTTTGACCAGGATCATAATCTTTCATCTGCTCTAGGCTACTTACCACCATCCTAGCTAGCTGACTCAGCGTCCACCCCAACACTGCTACCAGGTCTGTCTCATCCCTTGTAAGAGATGAGCCAGGATGAGATGCAAGAGTAGATTCTTCGGGGAGAGAAAGAAAGTGAAGCAGCAAACATCTCAGCTTTTCCCACAGTGTGGAGGGAGAAAATGCCTTTCCACTTTGTCTAATATCTTCTCCCAGGCAGTTGTTGAATCCTAGAGGTTCGCTTTGCTCCCCATTGCCAATCTGTGACTCCCAGCTTAAAGCATCGTGAGTTAACACAAGTTGCTTCTTGCTGGGATAATATATCAAAGGAGGGAGAGAGTACACGCTCCCTCCTAATGGATCTCTTAACAAGCTTACGTAAAGATCACCAATTCACAGAGATCATTGTCCTAGTGACATAGAGTTATAATTGATTACTGTGACTTTGATGCTTAGAGAGTGATTCATTAGAGTCTCATTATCTCTGTCATTTTTAATGAGAAGAGTTGGGTGGTACGTAAACACAGTTATGACAGGCAAAGAGAGAGCAAACAGACCAGAGAAAAAGAGAATTACAGAGGTTCCTGCAAGGTGAAGCCTTTCTTTACCAGAGGGATAAGAAAATTGTGTGAGATGCTCTTTCAGAAATTGCTCTGATGTAGGGCTATAGCCAGACATTAGCAGTGCAAGGCCATGCCACCTTTCCAGGCATATCTGGGTATAAAGCACAAAGCTCCACAATAATCACAATTAAATAAGTGACTGGTGAATTATGGCTGCACTATTTCTGAGGTGTAGTTGATTTGCCTATAGGAATTGCACAGTGGAATCTATGGCCATGCTAACCTTTACTGAGAAGGCACTCCAGGTCAATAACTAGTGCACTACAATCATTCTCACTTCACAAGTAGATCATTGTTTTATGCCTGTATCATGAACCCTAAGGAACTTGACAAAACCGTTTCATTATGATCTCCAGGAGAAGGTCACTTCTCATTCATCTTGAATCCATCCTGTTATCTAGCAGAATGCCTGGTACAATGGGTACTCTAGATTGTATAATGAAGTACTAGAGTTTGGTTGTATAATGGTACTACCCATCTCACCAAAACACTGTCACTTTTCTTCTAAACATTCAAATTAGCAATTTAAGTCTCTATCTTATGTAAATGATCAGTATATCCAGTTTTTCTTTCTAGGGACTTTCTTTGCCTAGAATTGTTCACAAGGTCAATGTTTAATCAAACTTAAAAAGCTACTCCTATTTTCAAACTGCAAGTAAAGGAAAACCTAGAGAGGCTACTTTTCCAGTGATGGACATCAGGTTGCCTCCAACCTTTTTTACCAAAAAAAAAAAAATGCTGCAATGCTCATCCTTGTATATATGGCCTATGGAACTGTGAGAGCATTTTTATGCTGGATCATAGAGTATGTATATACTTAATTTGACCAAGTACTGCCAGATGGCTCTTCAGAATGTCTGCATCAGGGTACCCTTACCCAGCAAAGTATGAGGGTTATTTTATATGCCTGCACCTCCCCTCAGCACTTGACATTATCAAATCTTATAATTTTAGCTAGAATAATATATTTCATTATTATTGTTTAGCTTGCAGTTAAATTGCATCTCTTCATTTACTTGCTGGCCTTTTTTATTTTTTAGCATAGCAGATAGTAAATTTTGAGTTTTTAATTATTGTCATTTTTATTATTTTTTCCTTTCAACTTTGTATAAATTATAAAATGTTTAAATTTTTTATTTAAATAGCTTTCAGGGTACAAATAGTTTTTGGTTATGTGGGTGAACTGTATAGTGGTAAAGTTTGAAATTTTAGTGCACTTATCACCCACGTAGTGTACATTGCATCCAGCATGTAGTTTTTTTAACCCTCATGCCCCTCTCACCCTCCTCCCTCTGACTCTCCAATGTCCATTATATCACCCTGTGTGCCTTTTGTGTACCCATCGTTTATCTCCCACTTGTAAATGAGAACATACAGTAGTTGGTTTTTTATTCCTGACTTACTTCACTTGGAATAATGGCCTCTAGTTCCATCAAGTAGCTGCAAAACACATTATTTTGTTCTTTTGTATGGCCAAGTAGTATCCCACCATATATATATAAAACATTTTCTTTATTGGCTCACCGGTTGATGAGCACTTAGGTTGGTTCCATATCTTTGCAATTGTGAATTATGCTATGATAAACATATGCATGCTCATGTCTTTGTGATATCATGACTTCTCTTCCTTTGAATAGATGCTCAGTAGTGGGATTGCTGAATTGAACGGCAGATCTACTTTTAGTTCTTTGAGATTGTACTAATTTACGTTCCCATCAGCAGTGTGTAAGCATCCCCTTTTCACCACATCCACACAAATATCTATTGTTTTCTGACTTTTTAATAATGGCCATTCTGGTTTGGGTAAACTGGTATCTCCCTATGGTTTTAATTTACTTTCCCTGATGATTAGTGATGTTGAACATTTTTATATGTTTATTAGCCATATGTATGTTTTCTTTGGAGAAATACCTATTCACATTATTTGCCTACTTTTTTGTCTTGCTCTGTCGCCCAGGCTGGAGTACAGTGGGTGTGATCTTGGCTCACTGCAAAGTTCACTTCCCGGGTTCAAGTGATTCTCCTGCCTCAGCCCCCTGAGTAGCTGGGATTACAGGTGCCTACCACCACACTGGGCTAATTTTTGTAATTTTAGTAAAGATTGGGGTTCACCATGTTTCCCAGGCTAGTCTCGAATCCCTGGCTTCAAGTGATTCACCCGCGTCAGCCTCTGAAAATGCTGGGATTACAGGCCCGAGCCAGCCATGCTGTGCAGAAGCTTTTTAGTTTAACTAGATCCAATTTATCTTCATTTTTGTTGCCTTTGCTTTTGGGATCTTAGTCATAAATTCTTTGCCTAAACCAACGTTCAGAATAGTTTCTTCTAGGTTTTCTCCTAGAATTTTTATGGTTTCAGGTCTTAGATTTAAGTCTTTAATCAATTCTGAGTTGATTTCTGTATATATTGAGAGATAGGGATCCAGTTTCATTCTTCTACATGTGGCTATCTGGTTTTCCCAGGACCATTTATTGACTGAGGTGTCCTTTTCCCAATTTATGTTTTTGTATGCTTTGTGGAATATCAATCAGTTGTTAAGTATTTGGCTTTACTTCTGGGCCCTCTATTCTGTTCCATTAGTCTATTTATCTACTTCTATTATCAGTACCATGCTGTTTTGGTGACTATTTGCTGACCTTTTGGATCTTTTCTTGAGTAAATTGGTTGTACATATCCTTGGCTCATTATTCTACTGGGGTTCCTCTCTTTCACATATTAATTTACAAGAGTTGTTTTTATGTCCTAGATATTAATATCTTGTAATAACATTACAAGAATATTATCCCAATTTTTACACTGTTGTTAGCTTTACTTATGATTTTCTTAAATTTGATGTAGTCAAATTTATCAATTCTTTTTTATTTCATACATTGTATTTTAAAGGTTTTATTGAAGAAGTGATTTTTCTTTCCAGACATCAAAAATATTCTCCTATATTTTCTTTCATTAACGTTATAGCATTTCCTTCAATATCTAAGACTTTAATCCACCTAAAGTTTACCTTTGTATGTTGTCAAAAAAATTTATATTATGAGGCAGTTTTTCCAAATCTAACTACTAAGCTACTTATCTCTCCTATCCCATTGACTTGTTATGCCAGTTTTCTTTAATATTAGTTTCCCAGATGTGGGTACAAATATACATAGATATGAATATAGATATTTAGACATGGAAATACAGATGTAGATATATGTGTCCGGGTTCTCTATTCTGTTCTACTGGATTATTAGTCTCTTTATATAAATATCACACGTTGTAATATATCTTAGTATCAGGCCAAAAAAAATCTCTTTTCTCTATTTTTTAAGATTGACCTAGCTATTCAAGGACCTTAATTCTTCTATGTAAGTTTTAGAATGTTTGTATCAAGGTCTTCAAAATACCCCACTAGAATTTTAAATGGAATTATATTGAATTTATAAGTTAATTTGGGGAGACAGCTTGATAATATTAAGTCATTCCATACAAAAACTGGGAATGTATATCCATTTAAATAAATCATCTTGTACATACTCAAGTAGAATTTAACATTTTTATATAAATCTGTGTATGCCTTATTAAGGTAACTCCTAGATACTTTATAGTTTTTATTGATATTACGAAAGTTATTGTCAAAAAAAGTTATTGTCTTTGTTGTTTAAGTTTTTTAGTTGATAGTTTATTATAGCTGGTGAAAATAATGTTAAATATATTTAAGTTGATCTGGGATCTGGCAAATTTACTGAATTTTCTCATTACTTCTAATAGTTTATCTGGGGTTTTTTCCCCTATGGAAGCTTCTTTTAGTTTTCTTTTATCAGTTCCCTCACTGAGCCAACTGATATAATAAAAACACTCCAAAGAAAATATTTTAAAAGAAAAATTATAAATTATAAAAGAAAAATATTTTTTTGGAATTTTTTCTATTTGGAGATTATAGATTCAACAGGCTGAGTAACTTTTTTAAAAATAACTACATGGTGAATAATGGGAACCAAGAAGAAAGATCTAACTATGTATGTTTTAATGTAGAACATGTTCTGCATGGAAGCTACAATTGGAAGTAGATACTCCTCTTGGATCTCGTAGATTTGTGAATATTGTATAAATTTCCTTTGTTTCACAGTTATATAGATGTTGTACATAGATAAAATTGAGACATAAAAGTTATACTACGGTTTATAAAAACAGGTTTTCATCAGCTTGTGTTCAGCAAATATCTTGTGAAAAGAAGTAGAAGACCATTTGTTATGTGGCAACACTGACAGTTGCAGTGCAAGGATGGTCACTCAGTCTGAGTCACCAGGACTGGAACACTGACCATGGCACGCATCCTCCCAAGAAATGTCTGCTGCTACACTGTTTCCTCTTGCCAGCTCTACTGTTCTGCATCCTTCACCCTCTGTCCTCTTTACGCTTTTGGCTACAGTAGGCACAGGTTAAAGTCCTCCAACTGGAAACATTTGTGAAAACTGTTCCAAGTTCCTTGAACTTTTGTCAGTTTTGTGGTATGCATTTCAAACAGTGGCAGATGTTTCCCCTGTGCTATTCACAGCCTCCCTCCAGTTTCAAAGCAGGAAGAGCCCTGAAGCAAATGAGGGCTATCTCTTGCTAAAAGCAGGAATATCATACCCAAAAAGAAAATTCAGCTTGAAAGGAGTAAGTCACAAGTTTCAAGATCCTTTGGTGGATTTTTAAATGATGGTAGTAACCCTGATCACACAAAGGTCAGTTAGAATACCCATATTCTTTCATACCACCCAAGCCTTTCCCGAGTTCTTTTCTTACAGCCTATCAAAGAGCAACTGGAAGGCCTCTGTGGCTCCCCCCACCAGCAAACATGAGATTCCATTCCCATCTTGGACAAGGAGCTAAGAATCACCCCATGCTCAAGTAAGTAGTGGGGTCTGCCATCATGAAAACTGGCTCCCCAAGGAATGTGCTGGGGCAGGAAGGAAGGAGGGACTGACACTGGGACATGAATCTCACTCAGCTCTTTTAAGACAGGCACATGCTGCCACCTGGTTCCCATTACAGCTTCACTATAGTAAGATTTGGCCACTGAGGCACCCAGGTGGAAGAATGAGACTCAGGCCCTCAGTGCTTAGAGCCGGAGAATGTTCCCAGCATATCACAATTACAGAAACATCTGTGCCCAACAGCTTTCCGTTGAACTGCTGTGAAAATTTACAGTGTTCGATTGCTTTCAGAATTTCTCACTTCTCAGCCTAAGGCAGGGTGGTCCCAAGGCTGCCAGTGAATTGCAGCAGGAAGTGAGAGAGATCACAATTTCCAGGGTTTGGATGAAATGTGGCACAAGGGTGTGAGGGGTGAGCCTGGAGCCCCAAGTGCTACAGGCTTCCATCAGCTGGTTATCTTTTCCTTCCTTTTTCATTCAATCAACATATACTTCCTGAGCATGACGTGAACTGACTTCACCATGGATAAAAATCTGAGTAAGCGTTGGTCCTCAAAAAGCCAAGAATTTAGAGAGAAGTAACCACTGGTTAAAATTGATTTGTATTATATACTACATTTTTTATTTTGAAACCACAAGACAATAAAAGTTTTCATGTATTATACTAAATATGTAAATAAACTCTATCCATTTAGAAGTACCATCTAGAACAGCACTAATCAAATTAAGGCCTCAAACTAGCTACATGAGCATCACCTGGTATCTTGTTAGAAATGTAAATTCTCTGACACCCCCCACCTCACCTACTAGTTGGGATTAATACTAGGAATCTGTATATTAAAAAGCTCTACAGGTGATGCTCACTAAAGCTTCAGCAGCATTGACCTAGAATATAAACAACAACAACAACAACAACAAAATCCTAAGCAAATAGGATACCCAAAACAACCCAACTTGATTTTTCCAGGGGAACCAGGAGAAAAAACCAAGAAGGATGAACTAGCCATTGTAGCACAAGAGAGGGTCACAAGCATTTGGAGGTGGGAGTAGATTAATAATTCTAGGAGCAGTAGTAAGAGCCAGCAGAGGGAGGAATTAATAAAGTCTTGAAAAATCATGGAGTATATATGAGGATATTTTGTTATTTAGACCTTGTTAATGTATGATGTAATGCAAAGACCGCCCAACAATTTAAGAATAAACTATGCTTATACTTTTAGATAATGACTGTGTATAGTTGTAAACACTGGCCAATGAAGGCCTCTGTCATTGTTTACATAACATCCCCACAACCATCACTACCACCTTACTATCCTATGAATCAAGGGTTTTCACTTTTTCCATCTTTTAGATGTTTTAACTCTTGGTTAGAATGATATTATATTTTACCTAGAGGCAAAATGTGTAGCAGAGAGACGAGCCAGCCGCTCTGCTTGAGGAGGGCACCGGGAGGCCAAACCTATTTCCAGCTTTGAGAGAATTCAACAGAACTTCCAGAAACTTTGTATCGTGAAGTTAAAGAAACCCGTGTGGGCCAGGCGCGGTGGCTCACACCTGTAATCCCAGCACTTTGGGAGGCCAAGGGGGGGTGGATCACAAGGTCAGGAGATCGAGACCATCCCACCTAACGCGGTGAAACCCCGTCTCTACTAAAAATACAAAATGTTAGCCGGACGTGGTGGCGGGCGCCTGTAGTCCCAGCTACTTGGGAGGCTGAGGCAGAAGAACGGCACGAACCCGGGAGGCAGAGCTTGAGTGAGCCAAGATCGTGTCACTGCCCTCCAGGCTAGGTGACAGAGTGAGACTCCGCCTCAAAAAAAAAAAAAAAGAAAGAAAGAAACCTGTGTGTGCTCCTCAAACATTCTGGTTCACTGGCTTCAAAGAATCCATACATACCCTCTGCCCAACCCAGCTCCATCCTGGTCAGCCCTGTGGGAATATAATAGGGGCTACCAGTTCCAAAGTCATTTTAACCATCTCTCATAACCTCCCTTTGGAAGCCAAGTGCCCTCACAGTTGTCACTTTCAGTGTATTCTCATGCCTTCTTTGGCAGAGACAGTTTTGGTAACCCAGTCTTCTGAAGATTGGGTCCAACTTTCTGACCTGATCCCCAGCTTTGTTCTGAGGTCCATGGAGGGCAAGACACCCCATACCATGGGTCTCTCTGATGTAGGATGGAAACTCCATAAAGACAAAGTGCTTTCAAGAGATTTTGACAACCACCATCACCTACCAATCAGGCATTATTCATTGCCAGTGATGTAAAAGTTCTCATCACAGCCACTTGGCAATGTTATAGTAAGTTGAGCCTTGGATGACATCAGAGCATTACTGCAGGCTTAATAAGTGGCCAGACCTTGAATCTTCTGATTTCCCATTGTACCACATTTTTCCTCTTTGGTTCAGAGATTTCTGATCTAGTAAAAGATAAGGTGCTAAAGTAGGAGCAAGCACTGGCAGTTGTGCAAGTAATTTTAGTTACTCCTATGTTAAGTCCTAATCTAAGTCAAAAGGTAATATTGGATTTGATCATGCTTGCCAGGGTTCTTTTGTGGAGGTTAAATTTGTTTTTTTGTTGGTTGACTGGAGCCTCAGTTTGGAGAATTTTTGTTTGATTTTGTTATTGCTTTTGAAACCTAAAGGGAATTTTGAGTTAGAAATGGAGAAGTGAAAAGATACCTAATAAATTATCCTAAAAATAAGTTGTGATCATGTATTTGACTTGCAGAAACAGGAAAGATTTATCTCCTAAACTTTGCATTTTTTCTTAATTCTAATATCAGGGAGGAATAGTAGATAAAGGGAGAAGAAGGATACCCCCACATATCTTTAACTAAAATATCTGGATTCTGCCCAATCATAAATGTGTGCCCAGCTTATATATATTTGAGGGAATATAGAAGAGGAAACAAGAGATCTTATTTTTAATTGTCAATGTGAATTTTTAAATAACCAACTAGGGTCAGAACACTCTTCTCGAAAAAGAAAAAAAAAAGGAAATGAGCCCCCTGTGCCTACGAGCAAAATAAAGTGCACGTTTAAAAGAAAAGAAAAGAAAACTCTCTTAGGCTATTCTAAGACCTTTTCTACACTGTCCTTGTACATTGGCCTAACAGCCAGAGCCTTGAGCTGGCTTCAATCCCTACTTCAATCCCTACGATAGACCAGCATGTTTCAAAAGAAGAATACAATTTATAAAAGCATAGAGTTGGCTGCATTGAAGTATCTGGTTTTGAATCACAGAGCATGGAGCTCTAAAATTACTAGAGAGCTTCCAGAACAGTTCCCCAATTTAAAAAAATGGGAAAAATGAGACTCTAAAAGAAGTGGGCAAAAAAAATTATAACAAAATAAAAGGGACTTTACCTAAGAGAAAACATAAACATTATAAATATATGTAAAGTTCTTCAATTTCACTGTAAATTAGTTGTTAGTTAAAACAATAAGATGTATTTACACCCACCACATTGGCAAAAACATTTAAAGTCTGACAACACAACGTGTTGAAGAAATAAAGAAATTAAAACTCTCTAGTCTTCAATCAGAAAATAAATGGGTTACAACAAATTTAGAAAATAGTGGGCATAAGTTGAACATACATAGCTCTGACCATCCCATTCCTAGGTCTAAACCCTAGGGAAACTTATGCAGATGTGTCCTGTCTTAGTCTATTCAGGCTGCTATGACAAAATCCCATAGACTAAGCAGCTTATAAACAGTAGAAATGTATTTCTCACAGTTCTGGAGGCTAGGAAGACCAAGATCGGGGTGACAGCATGGTCGGGTTCTGATGAGGGCCTTCTTCCTGCTTGCAGTCTGCTGACTTCTCACTGTGTCCTCACATTGTGGAAGGAACTAGCTAACTCTCCAGGCTCTCTTTTATAACGGCACTAATCCCATCTATGAGGGTTCCACCCTCATGACCTAATCACCTCCCAAAAGCCCCACCTTCTAATACCATCACCATAGAAGTTAGGATTTCAATATATAAATTTTGTGGGGACACAAACATCCACCACAGCAGATGCCCAGGCATTTGTTTTATTACTCTATAAACTACACATATGCCCTATTGTATGTAAAATTGTCATCATTAAAAATAAAACTAAACCTGCAACTTTAAGACAACCAACAAAGACCAGTAATCAAAAGGTAAGTGATTTTCCCAGGTTACTTCACAAGTAAATGGCCAAACCTGGACTTGAACCCAGATGACTTGGTGTCAGAGTCCAAGACTGTAATTTACTATGAATTACTACACAATATATGCTAAATGTCTTTTTAAAAACCTCCCTGAATCTCAGTGTCTACATCTGTAAAATGGAAATTAAATATATGTTTGTAAAGTTCTAAGCACATTGCTTAGCCTGTGATGAGTGCTCAGTCAGATAATACTTAGAAGAAGGAGAAAAATCAGAAGGGATAAAGGAAAGAAGGAAGAAGGGAAGGAAGGGAGAGAGAGAGAGAGACCCCAAATGAGAAATCATATTCTTAAAGGAACTACACATGCCCAATTTAGAAAATACACAAAGTAGAAGTGTAAACTAGAAAATCTGTTTTCTCTTCATTGCTGCAGGCCCCAGAGCATCTGGTCTCATTAAAGTTGCAAAAGTCGAATATCCTATTGAAAATTCTCTTTGGTGTAGGAAATTAAGTTAAATTAAAAACATGACCTTTCTCTCAAACTGGCAAAAGTGATCTCGTTCTCTGAGCGTGATCATATCCTTCATCAATACATCAAAACCAGACGTCGCTGCGGGACTTCTATGACTGAGCCATCAACCTCCTCTGAGACTCCCGTTTATTTGGCTCCATTCAGGCAAAGAGGATCAGGTTCTTTATAAAATCCAAAGGAAGAAGGTGATATCCACCCAGGGAGGAGGGTTTCGGGTCTTCTCTAACATTTCACAGGCCACTCACTCAAAGACAGAGCTGCTAACAGCCTGGAGGGTTGCTGCCCCCTCTCCTCACTTTGGAGACAACATTGGGGGATGAGAGACGGTGCAGACAGGATTGCTCTCTCTGGAAGAAATTGAGTTGAGAGTTCAATTGTAATCCTATGAAGCCTAGCTGGGGAGACCCCTGGATCCTGATGGGGACTCTAGGCAGGAACATGCATCCAAAGCCTGGAAGCAGCACCTCTCTCTTGTTCTCTGCTTTGCCCATCCCCTCCTACACAAAGGTCCTCCAGAACAACGAGGCATTATTAGTACAGCTTCACCGTCCACCAAACAACCACAAAGCTCATGCCTTCTCTGGCAACCCTACTCACACCCAGGCCTTTCTGGAGGCCCTTCTGCAGTCCAGGGAGGGCTCAAGGGGAAAAGGAGCTCTCCAAAGGGCAGAGCTGCACTGACAAGATAGGAGCCTAGAGCAATGGCAGCCATGGGAGAAAGTGACTGGCCTTCTGAAGCCAAGCTCCAAAGAGACACTCAAAAATTGAGATTAAAAATTTATGCATAAGCATGCCAATTGGCATGCTATTTATAGACCTGGATAACCTAAAACAATTTAATTGCCCCAGTTTAGAAAATGGTTAAGTAAATCATGGTCTAACTCTACCATATCACTTAAAATAGCCTGTGTCACATGAAAAACTCTAGTCTTCAACAAGAGGATTTTTTTCCAATTAAATTGTTATTGCTATTATTATTGCAACCTATATATTAACATTAACTAGAACTTTACAATTTATGAGTTTTCCTTCTATTGAAACTATCTCATTTAATCAACACAAACATATGAGCTAGATATTATCCTCATTATATAGATAAACAGATGCTTAGAAAGATTAAATGACTTGCCCAAGGTCAGGCATCAAATAAGTGGCAGAGAAGAAATTCAAGCCCAGGTTCTCCAACACTATCCCCAGATCTCCTTCTACAATGTTACGTACGTCCCATCAATAGGAACTAGGCAGAGTAGACACACACACACACACACACACACACACACACACACAATGGTAAACTCCATATAAAGGGGCTTCATATAATTATTAAATGCACTAGAAAGTGTGTTTAATCAATATCAAGAGCCAAAAGAGACTGTTGATATGGTTGTACTGAAAGAGCAAAGACATTTGCAACTCTAGGAAGGTTTTTACCCCAGACCCTTTAAAGTCAAAAGTCTGCTAAATAAATCTGAAAGGACAGGGTAAATGTCTCTAAAATTTAAAAATTAATAATAATAATATTAATATGGAGAAGGAGACAAGGAAGAGGGGGAAAGAAGGGGGGTAAAGAAGGAAGAGGAAAAAAGGAGGAGGAGAAATTAATGGTGACAAAAGAGTATTTATTATATAATTTTCATAATAAGCATCTAACAACTCCTGAAAAATCCCTTAAGGATTATACAGTGGGAAACCAGAATCACACAGAGAGTTTCTTTATTTCCTTGACACTTTCAATTGTTTTGGTCTCCAAAAACTTTTCAGAGTGAAAATAAGTACAGAAACCCTCCCTAAACATCTTATTTTCTGGGCTTGTTTCTACTGGATGAATAGAGGATCTGAAGTCTAAGACAGGCATTTGAAGGAGTGTTTAAAAACATGCAATACCTATAGATGTGGTTTCTTTCAGAATAATAATAATAATTAATTAAAGGCAGGAAAAAACAAACAACCCAAAGCATGCTGATAAAGAAAAAATTATACTGGAGGAATAAAATATGAAATAATGTTTATGTGTGTGCAAGTAAACAGGGGATAAAAGGGTAATCAGGAAGACGAAATGAGTACTTAATTCTACCCAAGTATTAAACCTACTGTACAAAACATTGTCACATTGACAGGTTTCTAACAGACTCCTAACTTCAATTCATATTTCTTCATTCAGCCCTTTCAATGGACCCATCTGCTACTAATGAAAACCTACAACTGTCACTAAGGAATCCAATATTCTTAAGTTTTCCATAAAGGTCTCTTTGAAAACAAAATAGAACTTGAGTAGCTAAACTATTTTTAAAAGAATAGACCATAGATTGTGCAGTGTTACTTTCCCCACACTCTAGCATGCACTGAAGTCTTAATTAAAGCTGTAGCTATCTGAACTATTTTGGCCTTTGACTTTATAGCACAGTATGTAATTCCTATTGGTATAGTAAATCAGTTACTTCATTTGTTAAAACTGAATAAAGTTTATAAGCCTATCAAAATACCTCTTGTTTCTTGTAAATGTTTAGGAAACATTTCTGAAATGTTTCTGAAAGTTAAGGTCTTAAGAGTTAGCAGAAACCAAAGAGTGACCTCACTTTGCACTTTGCTTCCTTCCGAATGAAGCAAGACCTTCCCTCTACAAGGGGCAGAAGAGCCACAGACATCACAGTAGGGAGTCAAAGAGGAGATGGACTACAAAGACAATCAGGCTTTTCTCACAACCATACAAGGCCCTTGCAGATGCTATGCTTTATTTATTAATGACGTAGCAGCCTCCATTAAAAATGGCATCTGCATTCCCAAGACATATGAGTGAGAAATGAAGTAGGAAGGAAGAGTGAGGTCTCAATCCACATGGTAACACTTGGGGAAAACTTAGTATTCCCTGCATCACTTCTTAAAAATCATTTTACACTCTTGCTTTTCAGCAGGGTCTTGAAACAATGCCTGTATGAAAAACGTAATAAAAATCAAGGTCTCACCAAATATTCTGAAGGACTACAGCTCTGCCTATAAGGTACTAAGTCTATAAGATGCAAATAACATGACATTGACCTCATTGGGTTTTGGACTTTAAATGAGAAAATCATGAAATATATACTTAGTGTAATGCTTAGCACAGAATGAGAGTTCTAACTTACTGTTGTTGCTATTATGGCTGTTGCTGTTGCTAGTGCTGTTTTAAGAAGCCCCATATGGCAAGCCCTGAGCTCCTTCTACAGAAGCTTGGAAATGGTGCAGCCTTTTGATGACTTAACACCTTCCTAGCTAGTTTTGAGAGATACTCACATTGATGCCCAGCTCTTTTGAGGCTAATGCAGTATTTGGAAAACACTTCCATGTTAGAACAACACAGCCATAACAAAAATGTTCATGGTTTACTCATGTCTAGCCCATTGCAAATTATGAGGTTCCTTCACAGATTTCAAGCTACCTCAAAAGAGCTGTCATTGCTTGCTGTCTCATTTACACTC